>NC_000003.12:130826786-130978301 GCF_000001405.40 Homo sapiens
GGCAGGCAGTAAATACATTTTTTTAAAAAGATTACCTATTAGCAGCAATGTTGTAAGCATGGTTGATTCCCTCCCTGGACTGGTCACTTCTTTGTCTGAAATGCAAGGCATGATTTCTCCCAAGGTTTAGCTGAAAGTAGTTCATATAATGATTCTGGACGATTTATGCACAGGCATGCAAATGCAATGAAAACAACATGAGGTCATTAATAACTGTAGACACTGTCAGGTGACAGATGTGAAATGAATGAGCTCCTGAGTATTTCTTTACTTTATCTTTAAAAACTGAGTTTTGAGGCCAGGCACGGTGGCTCAAGCCTATAATTCCAGCACTTTGAGAGGCTGAGGCAGGTGGATTGCTTGAGGCCAGGAGTTTGAGACCAGCCCGGCCAACATAGCAAAGCCCCGTCTCTACTAAAAATACAAAAGTTAGCCGAGCGTGGTGGTGCATGCCTGTAATCCCAGCTATTCAGGAGGCTGAGGCAAGAGAATTGCTTGAACCTGGGAGGCGGAGGCTGCAGTGAGCTGAGATTGCGCCACTGCATTCCAGCCTGGGCAACGGAGCAAGATTCTGTCTCCAAAAACCAAATAAGAACAACAAAACAAAACAAAAACCTGAGTTTTGAATTTTTTTATGAGTAACGCTAAATAGAAATGTATCTTCCTTTTTGAACTTAATAGTGTAGTTATAAGAATGTCATACTAATCTAAATGTGTCAATACTCAATGATTACTCAAAAATATGTGTTTGTATAACTTTGGAGATGTTTTTTTTACTTCATTAAATATTTTAAAGTTTAAAGAGATGTCAAATGTTCAAAATGTTGATGTCGAGAGCCCGCGGCACTGGCAGCTTGGCCTGCGCTGCGCTGCGATGTTAGAGGAGTCAGCCAGGAGCCCGGGGAAGGGAAGCACGCCCCTGGGGCTGGTCCCAGAGGGCCTGATCTGCATTTGCAGCATGAGGTTCTGCCCGTTTGCTGAGAGGACGCATCTGGTTCTGAAGGCCGAGGGAATCAGGCATGAAGTAATCTATATCAACCTGAAAGATAAGCCTGAGTGGTTCTTTAAGAAAAATCCCTTTAGTTTGGTGCCAGTTCTGGAAAACAGTCAGGGTCAGCTGATCTACGAGTCTGCCATCACCTGTGAGTACCTGGATGAAGCATACTCAGGGAAGAAGCTGTTGCCGGATGACCCCTATGACAAAGCTTGCCAGAAGATGGTCTTTGAGTTGTTTTCTAAGGTGCCATCTTTGGTAGGAAGCTTCCTTAGAACCCAAAATAAGGAAGATGGTGCTGGCCTGAAAGAAGCATTGTGTAAAGAATTTAGCAAGCTAGAGGAGGTTCTGATTAATAAGAAGACAACCTTCTTTGGTGGCAGTTCCATCTCTATGATTGACTACGTCATCTGGCCCTCGTTTGAACGGCTGGAAGCAATGAAGTTAAATGAGTGTGTAGAACACACTCCAGAACTTAAACTGTGGATGGCAGCCATGAGGGAAGATCCCACAGTCTCAGCCCTGCTCACTGGTGTGAAGGACTGGCAAGGTTTCACAGAGCTCTACTTACAGCCTGGAGGCCTGTGACTATGGGCTCTGAAGGGGGCTGGAGTCAGCAATAAAGCTATGTCTGATGTTTTCCTTCACTTATAAAAAAAAAAAGTTGGTATCAAAACTCTAATAAAACCTTAGAGAAGAGATCAAATAGTACACAAACCACAAAGGACTAGTAACAAGGAAGACAGGCAACCCTGAAGAAAAAAATGATGCAAAAGAGATGAAGAGTGAACATAAATCTCTCTGAAATTTTCCTGTATTAACCAGATAGCCTTTGCTGCCCACATTAATATACTAATGTACTCTGCTTTCTGCAGATTGATGGGACATTAACAGCTTTTTAATATTACTTATCCAAATTTGATTTTAGGTCTTTTTTCCTTTCTAAATCCCTTTTAGGTGAGAGCTAGAGTCTACCTATAAATAAATAAATAGAATGAATTTGAATAATCAACAAAAAGTAATTAACATAGATGTAATTAATGTTAGAAAATGGCCCAAACTGGGAAGACTTCAATGAACTTGGTTTCTTTTCTTACAGTACCTTGTAGTTCAGTTTAATGTAACTACCTCTTTCATATTCAGAATAGAACAATGCTTCATTGCTTTAGCCTTTTCATGATAATTAACAAATTATGGAAAAAACTCACATTTTCGATTGTATATTTTTAAATTTTTCTATGTTATGATGTTTTGACATCTTAAAAAAACCTATCTAGCTGGGGAGAGACAGCCCCTTTCAGGGTTAGCCAATTCTTAGAGACAGCAAAAGACTCAGCCAGGAGCATGCATGCCTTTGATATACAAACTAACCAATCCAGAGTCTTGCCTCAACTATCTGACTTATACACCCAAGAGACAATATTCCTCTGCCTTAATCATCCCAGTGCCAGGTACCAGGCAACTAGTAATATAGGAGTTAGAAAAAGCTATTTAGCCAGATAGTGAGGGCATAGGAGCTCTCGGTAAGGCTTTTCTTTTAATAAAAAGCAGCCCCCAAACCATTTGTTTTCTAACAAAGAGCGGCCTGTAAAATTGAGTTGCAGACAAGCCAGTGGGTGAATGTATTCTAGTTAGTTGCTTGGTTGTCACCCATTGACTTGCGAATAACAGAGACTTACTACGACATCCATTTCACTTTATTCTTACCTTATTTTTCTCTTAAAAACATTTGTTCCTTAGTTTTTCATGGCAATTTTCCATACAAAAGCTTTGTATGGAAAGCTTTTATAATTGGTTTTTCAGGGAATCCAACCTTATTTTATCTTTGAAAATATCCTGAAGTGCCAAATAAACCAACAGTCTGAAGCGGGGGAAGACTCTAGCCCCAGCAATACCTGCGACTACTAATGAAAAAGACTTGACGGACTGAAACTGCCCGAGATTTCTCACATAATGTCATCATTACGTGGATGTGCTTCAGTGCTCTGAAATAATGGCACTTTAATCTCAAGTCCACCTGCCACCATCTGAAAAGGGGGGAAAAAAGCCAAAGATATAAAATACTGAAGAAAGGTGAGGGTACTGCTTCATTACCCATACAATACAGTTTTATTTCAGTGCTACAATATAATTCTTTTTCCTTCTAGTACTAAGAGTTATTTAGTGTTATGCATTCAAAATTTTACTTCATGATTTACCATGAAAGAATCTCATTTTACTGAAAAATTTTAGTTTTTGGTCGGGCTCAGTGACTCACACCTGTAATCCCAGCATTTTGGGAGGCCGAGGCAGGCGGATTACCTGAGGTCAGGAATTCAAGACCAGCCTGACCAACATCGTGAAACCCCGTCTCTACTGAAAATACAAAAATTAGCCAGGCATGGTGGCATGTGCTTGTAATTCCAACTACTCAGGAGGTTGAGGCAGGAGAATCCTCTGAACTCAGGAGGCGGGGGTTGCAGTGAGCCAGGATTGTGCCACTGCACTCCAACCTGGGTGACAGAGTGAGAGTCTGTCTCAAAAAAAAAAAAAAAAAAAAAGTTTTTGTGAAACTGTTTTCTCTGTAAATAATCGGTTTCCTTACTCATTCTGAAATGCATTTATTGTCTATAATAGCAACCCAGTGATGTCCTGGTGTTCTGCAGAGGAAAATGCATATAGAGCAGCAGCCAGGACAGATCAGTTAAAAGCTAAATAGCAAACATCCTGAGAATTGTAACGGGTCAGAAATGGGATAATTAGATATTATCCCATTTCTGTGTTTACTTGATGCCTTTGTAACAGTCTGCACAATTGACATATTCCTTCTAAAACAAAAAACAAAAAAATTTCTTCCTTTTAGTCTGGAACACAATAACTCACTTATCCCATCCTATTGCACTTAATGGGTCTCTCTCTTTCTTTTTAATTTGCTTTCATCTTCTAAATGTCTTCTGGCTATATCTATGTTCTTTGCCAGCATTTAAATCCTGGCTCTGCTGTATACAAACTATGCAAACTAGCTCCTATGCTTAACCTCAGTGAGCTTCAGTTGCCCTATCTATAAAATGGGGCTAATAGTAGCATTCACTTAATTATGTTGTAATGATTAAACTAATGACACAAGTAAAGTACAATCCTAGGCAGTGCTGGGCCTATCATAGGCTCCTCATATTTTCTTCTCTCTATCTGTTATCACCCTCAAAGACCTCATCTCCCTCATAGGTTTAGCAGTCACTGCATTTGAATGATTCCCAAGTTGACATATGCAATCTTGATATGCCTACCTGGGCTCCACTCTTGCATCTTCAACTCATGGTGGGCATTTCTCTCTGATAGCTCAGCTTCTCCTAAACATCAGTGTGTCTGAAATCAATCTTATCA
Organism: Homo sapiens; assembly: GCF_000001405.40. Classification (NCBI taxonomy): domain Eukaryota; kingdom Metazoa; phylum Chordata; class Mammalia; order Primates; family Hominidae; genus Homo; species Homo sapiens. The sequence goes on from NC_000003.12 coordinate 130,831,144, forward strand.
TCTTATTCTCCCCGAAAAGACTAAAAAATGGTTGAAAGTTCTTCAAAAACATAAACATAGAGTTACTATATGACCCAGCAATTCCAATCACAGGTATATACCCTGTGGATATATTAATACATATACGTACAAATGAAAACATATGTCCACACTAAAACTTATACCTGAATATTTATAGCTGCATTATTCATAATAGCCCAAAAATGGAAACAACCCAAATGTTAATCAATTGATGAATTAATAAATAAATAAAAATAAAATGTATATCTATACAATGGGATGATAGCCAAATAAAGGAATAGAATACCGAAACATGCTACAACATGGATGAAACCTGAAAACATGCTAAGTGAAAGAAGCTAGACACAAAGTCCAAGTATTGTATAATTCAATTTATATGAAATAACCAGAATAGGCAAATCCATAGAGACAGAAAATAGATTAGAGGGTACCAGGGAAAAGGGAGATGGAGGAATCAGGACATGACAGTTAATGGGTACAGGGTTTTATTGGGGGGTGCTGGAAACATTCTGGAGTTAGTGCTGATAGCTGCACAACACTGCGAATATACTAAAAACCACCAAAATGTACACTTTAAAAAGGTTAAAACAGTAAATTTTATGTTATATGGATTTAATCTCAATTTTTAAAAAAGAAGAAAAAAGCAACCTCTGTAGACAGCGGAGTGACACTTGTCCATGGAAGCGGGAGGAAATGGAGCCAGAGCTGCAGAAAGGGATCTCTGATCTCCAGGAAACCAAGATATTCACTAATAGCATCAGAGCAAGGCCCCAGGGGATATCGCTGTGCTCACTTCCAAGAAGCAATCAGAATCTGACTCCCAAGACTCAACCAAATAGGTCATTATGCAGCTTTGCTGAAATATCTGCAAATTTAGACCTAAAAACTAGAAAAGGATAGAGATTGGAGGGTGAAAATAGCCAAACGAAGGACTTGAAGTGGAAAAGAAGTTCCTCAGGGGGGCAAATTTATTATATTCTCTATTGTCAGATTGAACTGGAAGGGCAATAAATCATATGCCCATTCGGAGCCTCGCTCATTGCCAGCACAGCAGTCTGAGATCGAACTGCAAGGCGGCAGTGAGGCTGGGGGAGGGACGCCTGCCATTGCTGAGGCTTGAGTAGGTAAACAAAGAGGCCGGGAAGCTCAAACTGGGTGGAGCCTACTGCAGCTCAAGGAGGCCTGCCTGCCTCTGTAGACTTCACCTCTGGGAGCAGGGCATAGCTGAACAAAAGTCAGCAGAAACCTCTGTAGACTTAAACGTCCCTGTCTGACAGATTTGAAGAGAGTAGTGGTTCTCCCAGCACGGAGTTTGACATCTGAGAACGGTCAGACTGCCTCCTCAAGTGGGTCCCTGACACCCGAGTAGCCTAACTGGGAGGCACCCCCTAGTAGGGGCAGACTGACACCTCACACGGCCGGGTACCCCTCTGAGACAAAGCTTCCAGAGGAACGATCAGGCAGCAACATTTGCTATTCAGCAATATTCGCTGTTCTGCAGCCTCCGCTGCTGATACCCAGGCAAACAGGGTCTGGAGTGGACCTCCAGCAAACTCCAACAGACCTGCAGCTGAGGGTCCTGTCTGTTAGAAGGAAAACTAACAAACAGAAAGAACATCCACACCAAAACCCCATCTGTACGTCACAATCATCAAAGACCAAAGGTAGATAAAACCACAAAGATGGGGAAAAAACAGAGCAGAAAAGCTGAAAATTCTAAAAATCAGAGCACCTCTCCTGCTCCAAAGGAATGCAGCTCCTCACCAGCAACGGAACAAAGCTGGACGGAGAATGACTTTGACGAGTTGAGAGAAGAAGGCTTCAGACGATCAAACTTCTCCGAGCTAAAGGAGGAAGTTCGAACCCATTGCAAAGAAGCCAAAAACCTTGAAAAAAGATTGGACAAATGGCTAACTAGAATAACCAGTGTAGAGAAGCCCTTAAATGACCTGGTGGAGCTCAAAATCATGGCACGAGAACTACATGAGGAATGCACAAGCTTCAGTAGCTGATTCGATCAACTGGAAGAAAGAGTATCAGTGACTGAAGATCAAATGAATGAAATGAAGCAAGAAGAGAAGTTTAGAGAAAAAAGAGTAAAAAGAAACGAACAAAGCCTCCAAGAAATGTGGGACTATGTGAAAAGACCAAATCTACATCTGATTGGTGTACCTGAAAGTGACAGGGAGAATGGAACCAAGTTATTTTCAATATATTTTCTGTTTGTCATTCTTTCTCCTTGATATTTCTTCTTTAATCAACTTTTGACCAACAAGGCAAGTAGACTTTATAACATTTTACAAGTAAAGCAAAATCAGCCCTTACAAGGACTCAGTCTAAAGTCGGGTTCTTTGAAGGTAGCCTGTCAGATGACCTGATTAAAGGTGATGAGAATATTTCAGGGGGTTTTCAAGACATTCTGTATCTGCCTCTATTGAAATTTCATTAACCTTTTGTTTTGGAAAAGTTTCCATGAAAAGGACCTAAGAGAAAAGCATTCCCAAATCACCCCCCTCAGACTGTAGAACAGATCTTAATAGCCACTAACTGAAGTAGTCCATGTGTTCCCACAGATGGCTGTGAAAAATGAATCGTGCTTATCAATTCAAGAAAATGGAAAGAAAAGAACAAGGAGTATAGAACTTCAGGATTTAGCCATGACCAAAGTAAAAAATCTTGAGTTAGTTTGCTCTTCCCAAGTTATTTTCTCCCCAATCTCAATTTCTATAATGAAGTGTTTCCAAAAGGGCAGACACTGCCTTCTGATCCTCTGTTGTACTTCACATGATTTGAAAATGATGGAGAAAAGCTAATGCATCCTACCTGGTTGTATTAATTTGCTAGAGCTGCCTTAACAAAGTACCACAAATGATGTGGCTTAAACAACAGAAATTTATTGTCTCACTGTTCTGAAGCTAGAAGTCTGAAATCAAGGTGTCAGCAGGGTTGGTTCCTTCTGAGGGATGTGAAGGAAGGATCTGTTCCAGGTCTCTCTCCCTGGCTTGTAGATGGCTTTCTTCCTTGTCTCTCTTCACATCATCTTCCCTCTATTTGTTTTTATGTCATGGTGTCCAAATTTGTTCAAATGTCTGTTATCTGTATTCAAATTTCCCCTTTTTATAAGGACACTAGTCATATTGGATTAGAGTCCACCCCAATCTCATTTTAACTTGATTACTTATATGGCCTTATATGGAAATAAAGACCCTATCTCCATATAAAATCACATTCTGAGGTACTGGAGGTTAGGACATCTATATATTTTGGTGGGGTGGAGGGAGGGATGCAATTCAACCTATATCACTAGTCTATGCAACTTAATGAAGAGCTGAGGAAAAAGCCCTTTCTCTTAACATCTAGGAAACCCTTTCAGGGATGAATCTAGAGGAGTTTGGTTCTGGGCCAACCAGGAAGGACTGGGGCCAGGGGCTGTAAGGTAGTTCAGGAAGAAGTATATGCAGAAAACTGGAGATAAAATGCTGTGTGGAATCACCAGGAGTCTTGAGGACAAAGCCAGAATCAGATGACCTGGAATCTGACCAAACTGACTCACACAGGCAAAAATCAGAATCTATGTCCTTGGCATACATCAAAGCTGCTCAGCAAGAATTGAAATGAAAAGAAGTGCAGAGGACCAAGCTGGGCACAAATGCAAGACAAATGCAAGATAGGATTATATCATCTAGGAAGTCTCAGTTTTAAGCAACAGAAACTGACTGGCTGATTTTTAATAGAAAAATGAATCAATTGAGAGGATACTGGAAATATAAGGAAACTTTTGGAGTTGAATGATACTTTTATTATCTTGAATGATACTTTTATTATCTTGCTTGTGGTGGTGGTTTTACAGATGTAAATATAATGTATGTCACAATTTATCAAATTGGATAATTTAATATAGAATGTATTGTATGTCCATTATATCCCAATAAAACTGCTTTTAAAAAAGATATTGGAACCATATGTTACACTGATGCTGGGAGTGTAAACTGGCACAGTCACTTTGGAAAACTCTTTGGCAGTATATATAAAAGCTGAGCAAATGCTATATTCTATAATCTACCATTTTCACTTCTAGTTAACCACCCAATAGAAATGCATACAAATCTTTAACAAAAATGTGTACAACAATGTTCACAGCAGCACTATTCATATTAATAAAAATGTAAACTGCCTAGATGCTCATCAGCAGTATAATGATATGTATAAAGGGTTAACCCTGTAGGCCTGGGCTACTCAAACCCTGTATATTCCCAAGTTCTTCAGCAATGGCCCTTAGCCTGATTCCTGGGAAAAGGTGTCTGAGCCCTTGGACTATCGTGCCCGAAAAGAGTATCTTTTTATGCCTAATGGCTTGGGCTATGCCAGCTAGTTAGCACTAACAAAATGCCTATTTTTGTATGCCTGAGGCTTTAGGCCTCACTGTATCCATTTGACCCTATGGGGGCTGGAGACTGAGTAGTTCAGTCTCCAATAAATATCCTGGATGCCAAGGCTTAAGTAGCTTCCCTAGTTGGCAACACTTTGCATGTGTTGCCACATACCATTGCTGAAAAAATTGAGCGCTATCTGCGTGACTCAACCAGGAGATGATAGCTAGAAACTTGTGCCTGGTTTCTCCTGGACTCAACCCTGTGCACCTATTCCCTTTGCTGATTTTAATCTGCATCCTTTTATTGAAATAAATCTTAAGCATGAGTATAACAGCTTTTCTGAGTTCTGTGAGTCTTCCCAACAAATCATTGAGCCTGAGGGTGGTCTTGAGAACCCCCAACACAAATGCATAAATATTATAGTATATTTATAGAATGGAATACTTTGCTATACTAGTAAGAGTGAATGAGATACAACTAAACCAAACAACATGGATAAATTTCACAATCATAATGTTGGACATACACAACAAATGTGGTATGATACTATTTGTATAAAGAAAAACAAGACAAGTAGAATTAATCTATGATGCTAGGAGTCAGGATTTTGGTTATCCTTGGATGGCAGATGGTAGTGACTAGAGGGGGAATGAGGAAGCTTTTAGGATGTTGGTAATATTCTGTTTCTTTATCTGAGCACTGGTTATAAAAATGCACTGTCTGTAAAAATTCATTTTGTAAAAAAAAATTTATGTGCGTGTTTTTCTGTATATATGCTATACTTTAACAATGCAAAATGTTAAAGGATACTGGATGGCATGCAGAATCTTTGGAAGAACAACCAGATTGCCAGGCAACACAGCTAGAAAAGTGCCCCAAATCTCACCACAGAACAGATTTAATGAAAATCGCACTTCTGCACTGCTGGGCCATTATTACTATGACCACCGAGAATGCTGCCTCTAAAGAGTGGATGGACCTGCTCTCACTGCCCTGCTGCTTCCTGTCCCTAGAATAAACTCAGTGTGGTCTCTGCTTCTTCTCTGACTTGCTTCTTTGCAGTTTCTATGATGGCAGACAAGCTCTGCCTGATTAGAAGAAATTATAGATGCTGGGTAGTCAAAAGAATGAGACGGCTGGGCGCGGTGGCTCACGCCTGTAATCCCAGCACTTTGGGAGGCTGCGGTGGGTGGATCATGAGGTCAGGAGATCGAGACCATCCTGGCTAACACAGTGAAACCCCGTCTCTACTAAAAATACAAAAAATTAGCCGGGTGTGGTGGCGGGCACCTGTAGTCCCAGCTACTCGGGAGGCTGAGGCAGAAGAATGGTGTGAACCTGGGAGGCGGAGCTTGCGGTGAGCCGAGATTGCGGCACTGCACTCCAGCCTGGGTGACAAAGCCAGACTGTCTCAAAAAAAATAAAAAACAAAAAAGAATGAGAAAAGTCCACTAAAGTTTATTGTATCTGGAGATCTAAATTTGATTTTTAAAGTATTTATTGAGCCCCAATTATATGTTGGGCAACAAGTTAGAGGCCTTTACATATATAAAAACTCTTGATCCTGAGAACTGCTCTGTGACAGAGCATAGACCCCAGAGAGACCTTAGAAATATACTCAAGGTCCCCTTGAGCATTTAGCTGGGTAGTGGTCTGTGTATATATGATCTGCAAACTACCTAAGGCTGGGGAAGAAACATCCAAAAGAAGTAGAGAACAACAGTACCTAGTTAACATGATGTCAGGAATAGTACCTGTTCTTAAGCCAGTTGGGGAAAAACTCAAAATTCCCGATGCATTGGGTAGAAAACTCAGGAAGGTTTTATTTTACTAAGAGGAAATAATTAGCTCTGACTGAATACAGCTAAGAAATCATAAATCATAGATGTGTACACCTAACAAATCATACAAGTCATACCCAAAAAGATCAAACTATATCTAAGTAACTTAACCAACATTTCAGAATAAAACTTAAGAATATTTATAACAACACAAAAATATTCCACACTCAAAAGGTAAAATTTATAATGTCTGACATTCAAACAAAAATTACAAAGAAGCAGAAAAATATGACCCATAATGAGGAAAATAGTCAATTGAAACTAACCCAGAACCAACACAGATGTTAGAATCAGAAGATGAGGACATTACAATAGTTATTATAACTGTATTTCATATGTTCAAAATGTTAAATAGAAATACGAAAATATAAGAAAAGACTCGAGTAAAAACTAAAATGACTGAGATGAAAAGTACACTGGATAAAATTAATAGCAGATTAGACATAGTACATGAATTGAAGACATGAACAATAGAAGGCATACAAAGTGAAACATGGGGAAAAAGAATACAGAAATTGCCGGGCTTGGTGGCTCACACCTGTAATCCCAGCACTTTGGGAGGCTGAGGCAGTTGGATCACTTGAGGTCAGGAGATCAAGACCAGCCTGGCCAACACGGCAAAACCCCCATCTCTGTTAAAAATACAAAAACTAGCCGGGAGTGGTGGTACATATCTGTAATCCCAGCTACTCAGGAGGCTGAGGCAGGAGAATCACTTGAACCTGGAAGGCAGAGGTTGCAGTGAGCCGAGATCATGCCACTGCACTCCAGCCTGGGTGACAGAGAGTGGCTCTATCTCAAAAAAAAAAAAAAAAAAAAAAAAAAAAAGAAAGAAAAAAACTAATGAGCTGTGGGACAACTTTAAGTGGCCTAAGACACATGTTATTGAGGACTCCTAAAGAGGGAGCAGAAGAAATGTTTGAGTAAATAATGGCCAAAATTTTTTTTACTTGATTAAAACAATAAACCCACAGATTTATTGTTTTTAATAAACAAGAAATGAATGTATTGTTCAATGAAAACAAGCACAAGAAGCATAACATAGAAGACACCAAGACACATAATCAAACTGCTCAAAACCAATAATGAAGAGCAAAATCTTAAATGATTTGGAGTATTTCAGAGTTACTGGACAGATCTGGAACAGTGTTCCGGAAATTATAAATGTGTATTATCTTTTTATATCTTTTTTAGAACCACACACACTCTAGAAATATTAGGTTACATTAGAAACAGCTGGAAAGCAAAGAGACAAGTTAGGAGGGTTTTAAGGAGTACCATAGAAGTTTAGTGAACCTGAACTGGGATTGTGAAGTAACAATGGAATGTAGGAAACATTTAAGAATTAAAACTGACAGCAATTGAAGACTGTATGAGAAGGTGAAAAATAGCACTTGCTAGGAACTGACCAATAATATCAAAATTCATTGATCTAAGAGAGAAGATAATGATTTAATTTTGTACATGCTGAATTTGAGGTACATATAGATTCTTATATTGGGAAAGATATCTGGTATTCAGATACAGGTTTGGGAGTCATTAACACATAAACGGAATGTTCCCAAGTCCTTAAGCCTTCTTATGACATCTTTACCTGTAATATATCCAAATAAAATGGCCTGAATTTCAATTCTATGCATGTAAATGCAAGAAATCTGGGCCTACTAAGTATTCCTAGTGCAAAATGGGGAAGTCTAAGACCCAAACCTCTGAGGAAGGAGGCACTGGCCAGCTAGCACTCCTGTGTCTGAACTCAGAGGAGAGGAGGAGACTCCTGGGGGCTGGAACCCAGATCTTTGAGGAGAGAAGACTGGTTGGGAGTGGTAGAAAAACTGCAAGCTGGATTCAGCTTCTCCTAAAAAAGTGAACTACTGCTGCTGAAGTCCAGTCCCTGAGGTGAAAAAAGTGTTGCTTGAGTGATTGTCAAGAACAGGAAGCAAAACTAAAAAAGGAATAAGTCCCCTCTTATTCCTTCACTTTCTGTTTCTTTCCATTGGCAAAGGCTAATGGGGAACAGCTGGCAAAGCAGAAAAAAAGTGTGTAGAATCCCAGCGTTGCTAAGTAGAGAACAGAATTTTGAGTCTGGAGTTGAGAAACAATAACTTAATAATTGGCATACTCCTCTTAGTGGGACACTGTCTTTTTCTGGCTCTGATAAGGAATTATGCTTCCAAGGAATGGTTGTCTTAAGTATAGCTTGATGGTCACATGGAGCTGGCTGTGCTTTCAGAAGGAAAGGTAGAGCATGAATTCTGTCATAAGTGACCCCTTGTTTTCCACAAACAAGGCGAACTGTGCATTTGAGAAGAGAGAAGCTAAGCTAGGACCACACTGAAAAGTTGGTGTCCTGTAAAATTCTTTAAAAATGTGTTCTTTAGCACTTGCATGTTTAAAATTAGCAAAATGAAATCTTCATTCAGATGTTCTAGCCAATCTGATCCATTTTACATTTCGAATGGTAGTCTCCGCATTACATCTGCCACAATCAATTGCAAGAAGCCCAGCCACAGACTGGAAGAAACTCAAGTGGCTCTGGCAATGTTAGCTGCCAAATAAAGACACCTGTTACAAGGCTGCCTCTTTGCAAAACAAAGGAAGTAACTCCTAATAAGGACAGAAGTGTAAGAAATAATGCAGATGGAAGTTGAAAGTTGGACACCTGCTGTTAAGTGGGGGGCGGGGCAGTCAGTTTTCATATGTGACATGCCTGGTAGGAAGTCATGAAAAACACTTGGGGAAAAATTCTTGGGAAGGAGAAAACCTTGAAACACTCTTGGAAACAGACTTGTTTATGCATTTGTAGCCACGTGAATGAAGGGGACTTAACCCATGCTGTCATTTTGAGCTACTTTTCCAATTCTGCAGAACAGTGGCAATAACAGCACTTCTGTTGCCCTATCCCCCTCTTCAACCTTATATTCTTTTGGAGCTTGACAAGCTCAGAGTTTAAAACATTGTTTTCATTGTGGAGCATCTCAGAATCATAACATGTCAGATCTAGACAGGACCTGGAGCAGGAGAAATCATAAAGAGCTAAAAGGAATTCTATAGCAATAAAAATGTTAGAACTATAAACAAAGGCTTCTGGGGAGATAGAGTAATATGTAAGTGTTTGAAAACTAATATTGAGGAAGGGAAGAGATTGTTTGGAATAGCTTAAGGAAATAACTTAAAATAATTTAAAATAAAGCAACTGTGAAGTAGAATAAGGATACATTTTAACGCTGAAGATAGATAGTAATGGAGAATTTATTCATTTTGATGAAATGTTTTACACAATTAATACAGGGCTCCTTCATCCAGGGAAATGAAGCATCATATAAATAAATTTTTAGTAGATAATATTATTCAAAATTGTATAAAGATGTTGATTCCTCACATTTAGGAAAGATAGAGCAATTTAGGTATAAACAGGTATTGTTTTAGTCATAATTAATGAGCCTAACAATGGGCTATTACTACCACCACTAGGAGCCTTCCGTCCATATTTCCATCCTAAAACAACTTGACTCATCCAATCAACACATTGTTATACTATTCATAGGTCAACCACTGCACAAATTCTTCAGTGATCATGGATAATTAGCATTTATTGACTACCTATTTGCTAATTAATCTTTCATAAAATTATTTTATTTTGATCTTTAAATGAAAGCTTTTTATGGCATTGATTATTATTATTATTATTATTATTTTTTTTTTTTTGAGACAGAGTCTTGCTCTGTCACCCAGGCTGGAGTGCAGTGGTGTGATCTCAGATCTCAGCTCACCTCAATATCCACCTCCCGGATTCAAGCGATTCTCCTGTCTCAGCCTCCCGAGTTCCTGGGATTACAGGAGTGCGCCACCATGCCTGGCTAATTTTTGTATTTTTAGTAGAGATGGGTTTCACCATGTTGGCCAGGCTGGTCACGAACTCCCGACCTCAAGTGATCTGCCCACCTTGGCCTCCCAAAGTGCTGGGATTACAGGTGCTAGCCACCACACCTGGCCTATGGCATTCGTTTAACATGCTGAGTAATGGTAGCATCAAGTACACAATATAATGGAATTTGGTTTGAGGTTATATTAAAGACCAGGAATATACAGGAAGGAAATGGTGACTCTCAGTATTGGGAAGCATACACTCTATGTGTCATGGGGATGAGGAGGACCTGATCACATATCTGTTACTTCAGCCACAGTAATCCAGACCTAAAATAGCTCATTAGTCACAACAGTTTTTAAATAGAAAGAATGACATCAAAAAAACTTGTTGGTTGGTGTGCTTTTCAGCTTAGTTCACGTTCTAAGCACATATATTAAATACCTACAGTGCAGCAGGCACTCTGCAGGGAGAAGGAAGCAGGTACAAAACAGCTGTCAAGGCAGTGATGCATAATGGCTAAGAATTTAGGATTTGGAGTAAAATAGAGATGGTTGGAATCTTAAGTGGGTCACTAACTTGCTATGTGCTCTCAGGCAAGTAACTTGACTTCTTTAAGCCTTATTTCTACTTCACAGGATGCAGATCCAAGCAAAACTCAAAACACAGTGTTCAACACAGAGTAAGCATCAACAAATGATTATTAATAATATCAAATATGAATATTTAATAATATTTAGTAATAATTTAGTTACTTGAGCCCTGGGAGCTTGCAATCTTGTTTGAATACAGAAGTTGGAATACCTCTTTATAAAGTGAACAGTATTATAATGGAGGTTGAAATAAAATACAGGGAGAGGCATTCGTTTCTAGCAGGAGAGTTGAAGAGATTGGGGAAAGTTTTACAAACGATGTAACATATTAACTATTAAGAAAAGTTAATTTCTAAATAGTAGATTGTCTTCTAAGTAATCTATAAGTTTGTACCTGTGATGATAACACAGGAATAGACATGCAGAGCATCTGAAAATAGATTCAAGTTGTTATGGACTGAATTGTTTCCCTCCCTAAATTTATGTGTTGAGGTCATAAACTGCTGTACCTCAGAATGTGATGTTATTTGGAGATAGGGTTTTTATTTGGAGATAGGAAGACCATGTGAATATACAAGGTGAAGATGGTCATCTAGAAGCCAAAGAGAGAGGCCTCAGAAGAAACCAATCCTGCCAACACCTTGATCTCAGGCTGCTAGCCTCCAGATTTATGAGACAAAAAATTTCTATTGTTTAAGCCACTCAGTCTGCAGCACTTTGTTATGTCAGACCTGGCAAACTAATACACAGTATATACTAGAAATGAATAAATGATAAATGTGGAATTATAATTCTGTGGAGAATGAATATATGGGGCTAGGAACATCACCTATCCATTTGCAAGAAAGTAGAATAGGGCTGGCGTAGTGGCTCACACCTCTAATCCCAGCACTTTGGGAGGCCGAGGCGGGAGAATCACGAGGTCAGGAGATCAAGACCATCCTGGCAAACACAGTGAAATCCCGTCTCTACTAAAAATACAAAAAAAAAAAAAAAAAAAAAATACTAGCCAAGCGTGGTGGCAGGCGCCTACAGTCCCAGCTACTTGGGAGGCTGAGGCAGGAGAATGGCATGAACCCGGGAGGTGGGGCTTGCAGTGAGCCGAGATCAAGCCACTGCACTCCAGCCTGGGTGACAGAGCGAGACTCTGTCTCAAAAAAAAAAAAAAAAAAAAAAAAAGAAAGTAGAATAGATCTCTACTTCATTTCATATACAAAAATACATTTTAAATGGTGTTAAATATCTAAATGTAAAAGACAAAGCATATTAGAAAACATGGAGAAAGGCTGGGCATGGTGGCTCACGCCTGTAATCCCAGCACTTTGGGAGGCCAAGGTGTGGGGTGGGGGAATGGATCACCTGAGGTCAGGAGTTCGAGACCAGCCTGACCAACATGGTGAAACCCCGTCTCTACTAAAAATATAAAAATTAGCCAGGTTGTGGTGGTGTACACCTACAGTAATCCCAGCTACTCAGGAGGCTAAGGCGAGAGAATCGCTTGAACCCAGGAGGTAGAGGTTGCAGTGAGCTTAGATTGCACCACTGCACTCCAGCCTGGGTGACAGAGGGAGATTCTGTCTAAAAAAAAAAAAAGAAAGATAAATATTTTATAACATCAGGGTCAGGGAAATCTTTCTTAGCAAGTCAGTTAAACCCAGGAACCAAACACTGGTAAACTGGACATGCATTAAGGGTGGTAGCAGCCCTGTGGCTGACAGGATAACTTTGAGCCAGGTGCCTAATGCTGCAATGAATGAAGAGCCTGCCAGGGAAAGAGAACACTCTAAACAACTGTCAGGCCCAGAGAGAATGAGGCCAACTTACAACAGCACCAGCCAAGTGAGAGCTTTCTATTCACAGTGTCTCTCCTTCCAACCCCTGCCTTTGCCCTGGCAGCTTCAGAAATCTCAGTGAGCAAGCTAGGAGAGGAGGAGAAATGCGAGAGTGAGACCACTCCTCTCTGTTCTGCTGAAAGTAGTCAGTGCTCAGTAGGTTTCAGCTAAAGTGAAGTGAGAAGGTCAATCATGTTGAAAATATTTTCTTCGACTAGGCTATATCAAATTGAGACTTGCTTAGGATGAAATTATTGTAGGATTTTCTAGTTCCTTTGAGTAACTAAAAAAGTCATGCAGCCTGCTCCAAAATTTACTCATATACAGAGGAAGGTGCACACACACACACACACACACACACACACACACACACACACAGGTCATATATAAAGGGATAGTAGGAGTAGAAAATAATTTCTTTTTATAATATCACCCCATGACTTCCCTGTGTTCAGTGAAGAACTTACACACAGAAAGAACTTACCTAGTGAGAAAAAAAAATCAGGGGGAACCTATTCTAGATAGAAAAGTATGGAAACCCCCTCCAAGCAGGTATGATTTAAGCTGAGGCCTAAAGAATGAAAAAGAAGGCAGCTGCATACAGGGAGAAGGATTGCTATTTTTTAAAGGTACAAACTCAAAGAGCCAAGAGAACAGGAGTGAAAATAAACGCCAATCTTCCGCAAAGAAATTTCTATCCTCTCCTTAATGGAGTAAGAAGGGGTCTGGTCAAAATGCTTCTTAACAATTGCCAACCAACCACCTTGTTTCTGCCCCCATTTCCAGAATTACTTGGTCTGCCAATTCTGGAGCCTTTGGGGAATTCTGTAGTGCAAATTGGGTTTCTTCTCTGTGTTCCTTGCTGTTGCCTTAACCTTCAGCTCATTTGTTAAGTGAGTTACCACTTGTTCTTCTGTTCCCTGGCTTCCACATTGTTACCATCTGTGCTAAGTGTTGGGGACAAAATGGTGACTGAGATGAACAAGATTCCTGCCCTCATGGAGCTTATGTTCCAGTAGAGGAGACCAAAAAAAAAAAAGAGTAAACAAATGAATTTAAAAATAGCAAACTGTCATGAGTATTAATGGAAGAAACTCACGCAATTAAAATTGGAGTTTAAACTAAGCCTCTGAGAGAGTGTTGATTTTGCATTCCAAAACAGGTACTGGACTCTTGCTAATTAAAGTAAGGTACACGGAAACAGAACATCAACATCATCCTAGAACTTGTTAGAAATGCAGAATCTGGGGCTCCATCCCAGACCTTCCAGGTAATTCATATGCACATGAAAGATTGAGAAGCATTATAGTAAAACCATATTTTTAGTTTTCATATAGAATTATCAGTAGCATGCCCACCAATTTGAAATTACCCCATTTTCCTTAAAAGGAAAAGCCTCTTTCCTCTTCTTCTGGGTTGGTGCTAGGCCTCCCAGAGGAGCAAATCATGACTGATGGGGAGAAGAAGGCAACACAGCTTCAAAGACCTGCCCCAAATCCATCAAAAACAGTAAGTTTGCTGGGAGATTTGAATGTTTCTGTTAAAGGAATAATTTGCAATTCCATCCTGAGTGGGAATTCTCAAGACTGGATGAAAGAAGATAGAGTTAGAGGATTCATCCCAAACCATGGGCATGTTGGAGACAAAGATGAGCAGGTTGTACTTGGCGATGGGTTTGAGAAAGGATGTGATTTGGGAGATTCTTGGTGGTAAGGGGGTTCCCTGTTTCAGGTTTAGGATCCCTCCATCCCAACTTGAAAAGGATGAGAAGCTAGTGGCAGAAGAGGGAGAAGAGGGGGCATTGGGTAGAGCTGGCTCTATTTTTTGGTCCTGGGCCTAAAGCAAGAGTTGATTTCCCTGAACTAAGGCTACTAATAGCACCACTGTACCTTGACAAGAGAAAATGAGTGAGAGAGAATGTGGGAGCAGTCAGATATCAAGTCAAGATATCACCTGATGAGAGGCCCATGTGAAGACTGATATGCAGGAATTTCCTTATGGGAAAGTGGCTGCAAAAAAAGAGATGGGCATTGGCCTGAGGAAAACCACCCCTACTGGGGAAGTGTGTTTTAAATTGTGGGCCTGCTGGAAGCTCTCAAAGTGCTTTAGCAAACAGGGCATCTATCTTTCAAACTCCACCTGGGAAATCCCTCTACAGCCATGTCCCTACCTGATAGCTCCCAAACCAGTGGCTCTCAAAGTGAGGTTCCCAGCAGCATCAGCATCACTGGAGAAGTTGTTAAAAAAGCAAAATCTCTGCTCCTCCCGCAAGACCTACAGAATTAGAAAGTCTGAGGGTGGGGCCCAGCCACCTGTGCTTTAACAAGCCCTCCAGATGATTCAAATGTATGTTCAAGTTTGGCCTAAACTATGCAGAAAATGTCTTTTTTTCTTCAGTGGAGGACAAGTGTCTCATGAGCGTGGAAATATTGTTAAATTTGAGAAATTAATACTTGAAACCGAAGAGCAAAAGGCATAAAAGTTGCACAGTTTATAGAGCAATTAGAAACATCAAAGTTGCTGAATGATGGTTGTAATGGGAATATAGAGGGATTTTTGAAAGTGAATTTTGGGAAAGTAAAAATACACCATCTGCAGATGTAGGATAATTATTCCCTATGTGGTGAGGGCACTAAGAAAATGTACTGTGAAGTAGCAGAAGTGCTTTAATCATGCAATAAGGTGGAATCTGGTGCTGCATAAACTTGCCCTGATGAGCAATATTAAATGCCTCCCATTCCTCTCTTGATTGTATTTGATGCTGTCCTTAGGGGAGTGTAAGACTGGACCAGTATCTACAGATCTAGTGGGATGAGAGTGATTTCTCAGTAGAATTCATAATAATAAATGATTTCTGTTTTCTGAGCTAGCAGCTTCTCCATCATCCTAACTGCCGGCCCTTCACTCTGTATCCAGGCTGGATTAATTCCCAGAGAATGGAGTCATTTTCCTGATGGGAACTCTTAGCACTGATTGGAAGGAGGAGATTAGCGGGCTTTTCATTTTTGTCCTGATGCAATTTGAAAATCTCATCAATTCAAAGGTATCCTGGAGACACTGTTTCTCAATTCTTGTTTCATGTTTCTCAACCTGTATTTAACCCTTGGATCCAATTCTTTCTTCTTTGTCATTCTCTTTCAATGAATATGCATTGGTATATGTTAACTTAACACCTACTGTGTGCAATGCACAGTGCTAGATGACTTCACAAACCTACATTTTCATCCTATCTTCTTTAACATTTGAAAAAGAATAAACTGTAAAATATCTTTCTGCTCACTCCCTTACCACTATTTTTCCTGGTGTTGGCTTTGCCTCATTATGTTGCTTTTCAAGTGAAGAATTTGGGATTCCCCATACTTTAAGCCATTTGCAAAAAAGCAGATTATTATTAGAAAGCACAGAGAACACACAAATATCCTTTCATTGTGGGATTACAGCCTTAACCTATGACTTTCCTGGATTCATGGTTTCTGTTAGTTATTTTTCTATCGAGGACGAGGGGTGGGAGTGAGTTCTGCAAAATAACAGATAACTGCTTCCACTCTTTTTTTTTTTCTTTTTCTTTTTGAGACAGAGTCTTGCTCTGTCACCCAGGCTGGAGTGCAATGGCGTGATCTCGGCTCGCTGCAACCTCTGCCTCCCAGGTTCAAGTGATTCTCCTACCTCAGCCTCCTGAGTAGCTGGGATTACAGGCACACACCACCACGCCCAGCTAATTTTACTATTTTTAGTAGAGACAGGGTTTCACCATCTTGGCCAGGCTGGTCTTGAACTCCTGACCTCATGATCTGCCTTCCTTGGCCTCCCAAAGTGCTGGGATTACAGGCGTGAGCCACCGTGCCCGGCCTGCTTCCACTCTTTATTGTGCTACTTTGCAGAGGGCAAAATATACCTCATATACTTGTGGAAGAAACACTGGGCCCTTCAGTCCTTGCAGATATAGATTGTAGCCACCAGGACTCTGGTCAGCTGTCTTTCATCAAGGCACCTGAGCCACAGGGGCAATAAAAAATGGCACGCCTTAAAAAAAAAAAAAAAAAAAAAAGGGCACTTCTCCAAGCTGTGATGGCAGAGATGTCCATACTGTAAACTTAAGGAGACTATGCCTACCACCTGAGAAACAGGGTGCATAAATTCCCACATTCATATTTTATTAAATATAGACGGACCATTGAAACCTATGTCAAACAGAAACTGAGATTGTAGTAGTTTTCAAAAATTGGGAAGCAGAATATCTGTATCTACAAATACAGCTTCTTTTTAGCATCACCAGAATCATTTCATAAAGGAATCTTTAAGAGGTAGGTAATGATATGAACATTATTTATAGAGAATTCAGGACAGGAGGTTGTATGATTGTTTGAGAAGACGTACTTGCTCTCCAATCGTAGTCTGCAAATTCCTAGCCATCTGTATTTGTATTTCTCTCTCTTTTTTTTTTTTGGAGACAGAGTCTTGCTCTGTTGCCCAGGATGGAGTGCAGTGGCACGATCTGGGCTCACTGCAGCCTCCGCCTCCCAGGTTCAAGTGATTCTCTTGCCTTAGTCTCCCAAGTAGCTGGGATTACAGGCACGCACCACCACACTCAGCTAAGTTTTTGTATTTTTAGTAGAGACGAGGTTTCACCATGTTGGCCAGGCTGGTCTCAAACTCCTGACCTCAAGTGATCTGCCCGCCTTGGCCTCCCAAAATGCTGGGATTACCAGTGTGAGCCACCATGCCTGGCCTGTATTCCTCTTTAACAAGGTAACACCATGTCTTTCCTTCTTCAAGTTAATAGGTCCTTGAGAATTCATTTCTGGGAGTGGGTTAAGTGGTTCTGCAGTATACAGGTTGGATACAGATACTGGAGTCAGGTTTACCTGGTTAGAATCCCCTTCGCCTCTGTTTTTGCAGCTGTGCGACCTCAGCAAATTGTTACCTTCTCTGAGCTTTAGTTTACCCATATGTTACTGTAGGATTACATGTGATAATACATGTAAAGACTTTAGCACATCACCTGGCCAAAGGGCCCAATTAGTATTAGATACGATTTATATTCGTTATCAATTAAATTCCTAAAGGAATTTTAATTGAATTTGTTTCACCCATTTTTCTTTTTTGTGCTTAATCTAATAGAACAGTTTTTGTTTGGGGATGCTGCATTTCTCCCTCCCCATTTCTTTTCATCACTCACCTCAGCCCCAGAAAAAGTGATCCTGAAACAACTGTGGAAATGAAGTCTGCTTTGTGTTCGTCTGTTGGGAAAAGATTGGATCACCAGTCATGCTGTGGGTGTTTAGCAGGCTGCTGGCTTCTGCCCACAATAAAGAGGCATCTCTGAAGGTTCTGATATTTTTAAAAAGAGAAGCAAAAGGGCAGTTAGTGGATCTCAAGGGTTCGTATGAACGACACATTTCCCTGCCCCCACAATCCCTAGGGCTGCCTCTCTTTCCAGGGCTTCAAGTTGGCCCAGGGTATCTGGCTTTCTATACTTCTTGTTTTTCTGGGTCATGAACTGGCAGGGAGCATGCAGCACTGTGCCCTTAGCATTCAGGTGTTTCACAAGCACACTGCTTCTCTCTTGCCCTCATTAGAGTCAGCTGTCTCCAGCATACAGAGAAGGACGTGCAGAGCCTCTGTATGCATGTAGCATGGTGCACCTGGAGAGGTGACAGAAGGGCAGGGCCTCCTCCTAGGAGCCAGCTCCAGTAGCAATATGTAAATGACTTCTTGGAATTGCCAGGCTGGTCCTGGTGAGTCTGGAAGATCACCTTGCTAGTGGGCCCAATGCCAACCTGACAGATGGCCTGGGCTGCTTGCAGCACAACCAGGTTTAGGCCATCAAGTGTGTTCCCTGAAGGCAGGTGACCCATCCAGGAGTGTCAGGGAGGCTGTCCAGGGGGACAACTAAGGCTGCAATGTAATTTCCCCAGCTCTGCCTACCTCCTCTTCCCCGCAACTTGCAGTGCTCTCTAGGAAGAGGGAAAAACCAGGGCTTGCTTTCACCCTTAAAGAAAACTCTGGGTCACATAATTTTTGTTGATGTCCAGTCTGTTTTCTACATGACAGCCCCTCACAGAAGTGACCAAATGTTTCCATCAAAGGAACCAGCTACTGTAAAGTTTAAAAGGATAATAAAATAGTAATGTCTATTTGGGGCCCTAGTTTAGAAAAACCCTGTGATCTCTATAAAGTATTAAGAAAATATTGAACTTTCAAATTTTATGATTTCATGTCCTCTAAGACCACAGACCTCTTGGCATTATTTTTCTTTTGTTCTTTTTTTTTTAAGCATGAATCTTTTTTTTAATAAGAGTTAGAAAGTAAACATAAAACATTTTCTCTCACTTACATTCATAGTTTTTAAAAGCCTAGGGAAAGTTAATGTTTCTGAATTCAGCCTGTGGATTTGAGATAAGGATTCAAGGAGAGAAGGCTTTTAACTCAGAACAGAATCTGTTTGCAGCTATTGTTCAATTAATGTAAAGTATCTGGTTACTGGGCATGTTGCATAATGCATCACAGTGCAAGCCAAACGTTTTCAGTGCTGACAACGAGCTCCTTGATAACAATGAAGAGTGAGGTAATTTGTTAAATTTTTTTGGAAGTCCCCTATAACAGTCTTCTCAAGACTGAATGAATCAACACTTTCCAGCTCAGACCGCAACTGAGCTGTGTGTCTGTGTGTGCGCATGATGATAAGAAATCTAGAAGGAAACTGGGAAAACCACATCTCATGCCCTGTTTAAGAACTAGAAAAAGTGTCAGAAGAATTAAAATTAAGCCTCACGAGAGTCTGTGGGTATGGAAAGTCACCAGCTAGCTAATATTAACATAGCTTGCAACAGAACACTGTTGCTAGAAATAGGACAGTCGCATCACTACCACTAAGCAATTTGCATTCTGTGGACCAGCCCCTGAATTCCTATTGCCCTTTGGGCATTGCATTTCTGGACGCTTCTAGACAGTGTTCATACTTGGCTGTCTGGTTTCACCAGGAACTCTACCCAAAAGAGGAAACAGCAAGGAGAACATTTGCTTTGTTTGTAGGAGGGAAGTTGTCGAGCTACAAACAAATCTTTAGGCATCTGAGGAATTGCTAAGTTTCTAATTTCATATGGTTGCTGACAAGGAGGTGCAGACAAGGACCCTCTTGCTTTCCTCACTATGGATAGTCTGTTGCCTCCATCTAGATTCTCTTATTTCAAAAAATATCCTCTCCATGCAATTAGGAGATATTTATCGACGCTGAGAAACCAAAGAGCCGAAGAACAGGTATCATTTTGTTTATATTATCTTTAAAATGAACGGGTGCTTGTTCCTTGTTGCTTTTACGTCGCTTAGTGATTTCATTTGTGCTGGTTTACATGTTTATAGGTACAGGTCAGATCCTGCTTGTGGCTGTTCAGACTTGGCAATCAGAAAGCAAGCAGGCTTGTGAGAATTTATTTAAACTTGGAACATTCAGATCCTGAGATTAAGCGGAGTTCTGTAATGAAGCCACATGCTTTCTTTCTTCTAAAGAGCTACTCTATCAAAGTTAAATTTTGAATTCTTTGATCATTTTCCAATGCCTCAGATACAAAATTTGACACTATTAATATCTCAACAAAGAAAGTATCAGACCCTAGAAGTACACTTGTCTTCTTGTATTTATGGTTATGTTTACATAGCCAGAATTTGCAAAACAAAAAACATTTTATAAACTATAATAACCTTAAACAGATCATTAACAAGCTATAAAGATCATTCAGAAGCAGTTGGTCATTTTTGTGTGTGTAAAAGGTAGGAGGTAGAGCACTGCCATATTCAGTCTTTTTAGCCAATCAAAAGCTATGATTTCCAGCAGGAGACACTATCACTTGGGAATATAAGCATTTTTAAAACTGTTAAAATGTCTGATCACATCTCATTTAAAATCATGCAGTCATTTTTATGGTGTGAGATTTATATCATTCCATTTCTTTGATCTCCAAAAAAGACATTTCTAAAAATGATTTTTATGAATTTTACCAAATTGTTAGAAGAAGTAGCAATATCTGATCCATTTAAATCTAGTGATTCATTTAGGAAGAAGTGTGGCGGTGGTATACAAATGTGAAGGACAAATGTATAGCCATACCAAAGACCCAGCAGTCATAAATTGCTTGTGCATTGTGCTTGTAACTAGAACTGCAAAACTATGCAGGAGATATCACCAGTGTCCTGTATTTTTTTCTCCTTTGTGATATGAGATGACCCACTTAATAAAACACTTCCAGGAAATGCAAGATAGGTTTAGCAGACAGAAAATCCTCTCATGACAGGTTTCCCAAAAAGGCAATGCATAATTTGGAAAATAAAAATCATTGCTACTGTTTGAGAGGAAACTGCTTGTATGCCCTGCTTTAATAATTTTACAAGGGCCAGAAATTCAAACAGACTCTGTTCACTAAGGGAGCTAGGCTGGTCCAGTTTATCTTACTTAGGCAAGGTGTCACCATTAAAAGACCAACTTTTGGTTTCCAAGTTTCAGCCTGCACTTGCTTTTGATGTAGAAAGCTAGAGAACCAAGTGGTAGGGCTGTATAAGTTTTTGTTTGCCAATCTTTTAATGTTCACGGGCTTCTTCAGGCCTCATTTATTATGGAAGGAAGAGAGGTGGCTGAAAGGATGGGAACACAACTGTGGAATGTGAATTGAGTGATTTTTTTTTTCTCAGTATTGTAAGTTTTCAGAGATGTGGCTATATTGCTTGTGTAGTTCTATGGTTCTTTGTTTTTAGTTTATTGAAGAAGTATTACAAAATGCATTCAGAAGACCATTAGAATTTAACATAAAACCTCTGACTTGGACAGGGTGGGTAGTCCCTTCCCCAGTGTACAACCATTTGGGACAACCTAGGAACAGCTGGGAGTGAGTATTATGCTGAGTTCTTAAATTCTTATATAAGTGAATTGAATAATTAAGAGAAATAATATATTTGATTTCTTTTTAAAGCCAACTACAGCTCTGCAGACCTAATGTCTCACAGAATTAGAGAAATTAGGTCAGAGTTCATCATAACTAACCTTGAAAGCTTGTTGGGAAGTTATAAAGGAGGTTAATAATGTCTACAATCTTATGACCTGCATATTTGTTGCCTCTAATCCTTACATTCTTGTATAACTAATCCTTGATATAAAAGTGAAGGGATTGAGACTTAGAGCCCTTAAGAGCCCTTGCCCATGCAGCTAGAAAGTACCAGAGGAAGATGTGAATTTCTATCTCATGGCTTTAAATTTTATTCATTTTACCACGCTTGATCCCTGAACAATCTAGTAATAGCAAAATATCACCCTGCTAACTTTTCTCCTTGAGAGATTTCTAAAATTTCCTATATTCACATAGCACTGTCATAATTTTTACTGTTTACCACATCTGTATGATTAATTCCTCAATATTTTTCTGTATTTGTACTTAAATCACATTATTAGAGTTTATTTAGAAAAAAAGTTCATATCATGACTGTAAATGGAAAACCATTGTCATTAGCCGTAAGTAAAAATAATTAATAAAAGCAAAACAGTATTAAATTCTAGGTAGATACTATTGCCTGTAAAACCTCCAAGCCTGAAACCTGCTCATTTGTTAATAAGGAAGATTAGCTTTTAAGAGAAAGGTTAGAGCATCCTAGGAGCCAACTGAGAAAGTTTCCTGGGTGAGGATGGAAAGGAATTAAAAGGTAGATAATGTTTTTCAATCCAAAATGATTCAGTGTTATTGAATGTAGTGTCTGCATGCCACTTAAAATCTTCTCCCACCTCACTTAGCGCTGCTAAGTACCAACCATGTTGACTTCCACATACTTGGGGAATATTATAACAGAACACCATCTGCTTCTTTACTTTTGCACATTTAAATGAACTCCCCCCTCTAGCCTAGAATTCTCTCCTTTACTTACAACTTGCCCTCCTGGAGGTCTCCTGTACATCCTTCAATACTTGGATTAAATGGGCTCAGTGAAAAGCTTTCTCCAGTGCTGCTGGGAAGAATGAAGTCTTCCTTTTCCAAGATATTTTGTTTGCTTCAGACACAGCCCTTACTACATTCTATGTAGTAAATCATGTGATTTCATGTCGATATTCGTGCACCCATGCACACATGACACTGGATGTTATCTTGTTCTTTGTTCCCTGAGGCATACTGGAGCCTGGCAGATACTGGTGTAAAGGTGACCCACACAACAGGCAGAGGGTACACACTGGATTGACTGTGACACAGACCTCCTTTGTTGTTTTTACTAGGCCTAGAAGTTCCCCATACCCCTTTTCTGTGGTCCAAATTATGATCATTGTTACACTCACCTTGTTCACATATGCTTTATTGTTTAAAACTTCTCCTAGTGCTCTTCTCGCACTTGGTGTCATACAGACAAGAAGATTTGACATGAGGGTTGATTTGTTTGGTAGCTTTTTCTGGTGGTGGTAGTGTTATTCCTGTGATACAGCCATCAATAGGTTGGTAGGTTATTTATCAAATTGAGAACAAATATTTCATCCTTTGCTTCCCTAGATTCTCTTGCAGCAAGTGTTTCACAAAGCCAAATCCCCACATATGTAGAAGATTAACAGCATTAATGAGATGAAGATGCTGAAGGTTGGGAAAATTTGTTAACCTTTCTCTCAGAATTATTCAAATGGTGTGGTAGTAACAGTGGTGGTGGTGAACGTTGGGCAGCCTGAGCCTAAATGGAGTCTCAGATGAGTTTGAGTAGGTGTGCTGAACGCACGCATAAGGGTGTTTGGTTTCGGTTATTTTATTTTGGTCTGAGGGCAACATCCAGCACCTGGCTCAGATGTTGGTGTCTAGTTTATAAGGAATGAGTGAGACTTGCAGGCAATGTTCCCCTAAGTACTAGAGACTCAGCAGCCTGATCTGTGGCTCAGGTGATCAAGCGGGACACTGAGTGTGGAAGGGAGAATTTGCTCCACTTCTGGGCTGACTATAGTCTAGCTTTAGCCTGGAGATGCCTGCCAAGAACCAAATACCTCATGAACCCCTGGGGAGTACTGCTCTTAGGGGCCAGCACCCCTGGGCTACATATGGGTGCTAGCACCAAACAATGAGAAGACAGTTTGTCAGCTCATGTGGGACAGTCTACTCTCTCTCCTTGGGTGAGTTCTTCTATTCCCATGGTTTCAAACACCTATTTGCTGAAAACTCCCAAATGTTTATACCCAGAGCACTTCAGCCTTGCATCCAATCATCTACTTGATATCTCCATCTGAATGTCTTGTGAATGTTGCAGACTGAATGTGTCCAAAGAGAATTCCACAAGCTCCAAACATGCTCCTCCCCAGGTTTTTCCATCAATCAACACAAAAGCTCAAACCAGAAACCTGGGAGTCACCTTGGCACCTCTCTTTTTCCCTTTCTCCCCCTTACGTCCCCTTCCTAATCCTTTAGTAAGACTTCTAAAATAGTTATTGAATTCTCCATCTTCACCCTTCTAATCCTGCCAACCATCTTTTCTTACTTGAACTATTGCAATAGTTTTCCAATTCGTGTCTCCATGTTCACTCTGGTTATCCTACAATCTGTGTCTCCTGTAGCAGTCAGAATTTTCTGCTTTAAATGAAAATCTTATTTTAGCTCAATGCGGGGAATATGATATTATTTTGTTTGCTAGTTTAGTCCCAGTGCTAAGCATAAATCTGGCACATAGATGATAAATTAATGTAATTGAATGGAAAAAGGGGACTTTGTAAGTATTAGAGAAGCCGTGGGGTTGGAGGGTTCACGGGGCTGAGGTGTTTTTATGCAGGTGAGGGTAAGAGATGGTGAAAATAGGGTTATTATCCTTAGTAAGCAGAGGCTGTTGAGATCTAGGGGAAATCATGTAGAGGAATTTATTTTACAGACGTGAAACTAGTGTCACAAACTAAGAGATTTGCCCAAGCTCGCATGGCTCATCTGTGTCAGTGCTGGGATTAGAATTTGGTTCGCTTGACTCTCATTCTGTTATGTATAGTGAACCCCTAAGCAGAGATGTAGAAAAAGGCCATATGAGAAAAAAACTCTACAGGATGGGTCCAGAGAATAGGTGATGCCTGAGGGTCAACTTGTCAACTTGTCAATAACAAATAAGACGTTTTGATGAGAGACTGAGGCAGAGCAGAGCCTGCTCTTTTTTGCCTTGTCCCTCAACTTACACTGCCCTTCAGCAGCCTCGCCAGTCTGAATCCCCACTTCTATGTGTCCCTGCAGGAGGAAAGCCGAGAAGGAGTCAGAAAACACAGGCCAGCTAATTTAATCTACAAGAATTTGGGATGACCTGTACCAATGTCTCGCTCTCTTGAACAGAGATTTTTTTTTTCCTGATTGAGAAATACCATTCAAGGGCTGATCTGACAAGTCTTGCCTGTTTAACAGTGAATCTGCTTAAAATGAGGAGAGTGGTCTTTGGGCCCAGGGGGCATGTACTGTAGCTACATTTTAATTACAGAGTAGAATCAAATTTTGTTTTGGAAGCTGTTCTAAAGTTTCCTTTCAATGGCTTAAGAAAATGTTTCTAGTTGGAACGGGATCACTGGAATTTTTTTTCTTTGCTGCTCTGTTTCTTAATGAATGCTAACCTCAAAGTTGCACTGTTAAATAAATATTTGAATTTAATTTGAATTTTAGAAACTTATTTCTGCATTTTGGCTCTCATACTTACTCTGAATGATACTATAAAAATTAAGAACTCCCCATTCCAAAGAAAACTATATTGAGATTTCCAAGGCTAAATAAGGATTTGAGGTTGCTGATGTAGGCTCTGATTCTCTAGGTAAAATGATAGACGTTTCACTACAACTTGATTTAAGAAATGTTTTTAGCTCCATAAAGTCAGTAAGTTGGTTATATCTTGAGTGTATACCAAAGCTATTCATTGTAAAAAGTCTTTTTGAAAAGTCATGAAATGCTATCCATTGTCAGTTCAAATGATATTTGAGGGGAAACTAAAAGTGCTTCTCCATGTCCCCTTAGCCCCATGCTTATGATCTTTCATTGGCTTCCATTTGCTTTTTGGATACAGACAAAGCTCCCTAATGTGGAGGGGTTTGTGTGGTCCAGCTCTGATTCTCTCCCTGCTGCATGTTGACCTTGCCCCCTGTGCTTGTGCTTGAGTAGAAAAAATTTCAGTCCTTCACAAACAGGAGGAAAAGATTTTCCTTGTAGAACTTAATAAATGTTATCTCATTTATACCTAGTGTTCCATTATTGGAACAATAAGCATGTGGGAGTTATTTACATCCTACTGCTCAAGGCCATCGCCAAGGTCTGATTGCAAAAATTCAAAAAATTGTAACTTTGGGCACAAATGGGTTAAGATAGAGGACAGAGAGTCTATGCCACTCCTGTGGAGGAATTTGTATAATTATATATAGGTAACATTGACAGTTAAATTGTGACAACATGAAGTTGAACTTTAATATTTCTGATTATTAAATGTGACATTAAAAGTGGAACTATTTTATTATGGTAATGACAACCTTTTCCTCTATCTGAAGGGAGAAATTTTTTAAATGAGCTATGTATTTACCAAAAAATAAAAAGCTACCAATGGTTTTTCACATTATCTACAAGATGCCTGAGAGTTATCATTGATAGCTTGCATAAAGATAAATGGCTTTCTAGTTGTCAGCAACCACCCTCATGGTCTTTCTCTCTCCCAAATATGTCTTCACTATCTAAGAAAATATCACCATCCTGATATTTAGGCAGAGGCCTAGGTTCATCTTTGGTGCTTTCTGCTCCCTTAGTCAATATTTAATCTATCACCAACTCCATTCAATTCTACCCCTAAAAAACTCCCAAACCGGTTGGTCTACTTCCCTCTTTCACCACCCTAGCCCAAAGACCGTCATTACTTCTTGCCTGAAATACTGTAATACCTTCCTCATTGGTCTCCCAGTAATCCACACTACAGTCAGAGAGGTCTTCTGAACACTACCACCTAGCCCCATGCTTATGATCTTTCACTGGCTTCCATTTGCTTTTTGGATACAGACAAAGCTCCCTAATGTGGAGGGGTTTGTATGGTCCAGCTCTGATTCTCTCCCTGCTGCATGTTGACCTTGCCCCTCTGTGTTAGTTAGGGTTCTCTAAAGGGACAGAACTAGAGGATATTTGCATATATGATGGGGAGTTTATTAGGAGAATTGACTCACATGAGTCACACGATCACAAGGTGAAATCCCACAATAGGCCGTTTGCAAGCTGAGGATCAAGGAAGTCAGTCTGAGTCTCAAAACCTCAAAAGTAGGGAAGCTGACTGTGCAGCCTTCAGTCTGTAGCCAAAGGCCTGAGAGCCCCTGGTAAATCACTGGTGTTAAGTCCAAGAGTCCAAAAGCTGAAGAACTTGGAGTCCGATGTTCCAGTGCAGGAAGCATCCAGCATGGGAGAAAGATGAAGGCCGGAAGACTCAGCCAGTTTCCTCATGCCACTTTCTTCTGCCTGCTTTATTCTAGCTGTGCTGGCAGCTGATTAGATGGCGCCCACCCAGATTGAGGGTGGGTCTGCCTCTCCCTGTCCACTGACTCAAATGTTAATCCCCTTTGGCAATACCCTCATAGACACATCCAGGAACAATACTTTGCATCCTTCAATCCAATCAAGTTGACACTCAATATTAACCATCACACCCCCTGTTCTCTGAACCCTAGCTATAGCACACTTCTTCTATGTATGCAAGTTTCCCTGCTACTTCCTGGCTAGGGCATCTGTTCCAATAATCATCTTTCTATCCTCCCTCAGTTAGTATCTACTCTTCCTTCAGATTTTAATTCAATATTAACTCCTTTAGAGCAGCCTTTTCTGACTTTTCCACCTTGCTTCATTACATCCTTTGAAGGCACTTGGTAACTGTCCTTTGCTGTATTTATCCTAGTAGCAATTTCGCATCTTTCTGTGGGGGCTATTTGATTCCCGATGTATCCCAGGTGACTAGCAAAGTGCCTGACAGATGGAAGGCACTGAATACAAGTTTGTGGAATTAGTGAATGTGGGGAGTAGGGGTGCAATGAATTCTATCTTGAGACTGAAGTACTTGAAATAATCCTGGATGTTAGACTTTGTGAGGAAGATACATGACTGCTTTTGTATATGTGTTTGTGTATGTGTTTTGTAAGAATCTTAGGGCTGTAGTACCAGAATGGCTGAGTGATTAAGGTATTGGACTTAAGAATCATAGGGCTAATTCATGAAGAAAGATAGGTATGCATTTGGGAGGTTCCGGAGGAAATAACCATGACCAATGGGTAGAATTGCAGGGAGGGATTATGATATACTAATAAAGATGAACTTTCTAAAAATGAAAGGTAAAGAAATGAATTATCTTCTGCAGAGTGCGGGGGTATGTGACCCCTCCTTAGGGGATGTTGTGGCAATGGTTTCTGCATCATAAAAGAGAAGACTGAATGACTTATTAGGTTCCAGCTCTGATATTCTAGTATAATAGGCAATAGAGAGATGAACAATTCAGATATTTTAGAAATAAGGAGAGGGCAGAGGGCATAGATGTGTAGTTAGGATTCCCGTTTTATTTGGTTAGTGGTAAATACTCCATAGTCTTAGCATGTTGCTCTAGAGTCTAAGACCAAAGAAGACAGAATCAAATGCCTTTGGTGATTAGAGTAGCATGTAATTCTCCGTCAAGGTAAAAAACAAAAGTTACATCTAGCAAAGACCTCAAGTGAAGAGCTATGTACCTGTGACTAGCTTTTCTAAGCCTAATCGACCACTTAACTACTTCTAATCCATAGTTTGTAAGTTATCTAACCCCTTCCAGTATAACGATAAATAGCTAAATATACATAGCAGTCATTGATAAATGGGGGTGCCAAGAAATTTCAGGTTATTTTGTGGCACTTTAACCACTGTTGTTTTTTCTTCTTCTTCAATCAAGCCTCTTTTACCTTCAGATTTTCTTCAATGCAGTCAGTGCTGGCAACTTGCCGTTTATTATGGTCCCTTCTGAAGGTGTTCCATCCTTCTTGTCCACAGCATCACAGCAGTGAAGTGTCAGACAAGCCTAAGAGACACCTGGACCCTGGGTTGATTTCTGAGCTATTTTTAATCCCTTCATTTACTTTAAAATTTTTCTAACCTACTGTGCTCTGGTGCCTTTGAAACATGGGAGTCAGTAAATGGATGAATATCAAAACTGTTGCTTTGTCTTTGAAATAAGCACATTATTAGAATAAGAAATTGAATTAGAAATCACAACAAATTACAAATTCGAATGACAAATATCACAAGCATCAAAAAAATCTAGAAAATAAGTGTTTTTACCAATTAAAAGTTAACAGATCCATCCTAAAATATTTTGTTCCTACATTGTGGGGGCCACAGGGTCTTTAATCACCTCCTCATAAAGTGATGGTTTTTAAATACTCTGTGAAGAGATAGTAGAAAGATAATTTGGATACTGCCCTAATACAGTTAATGTATGATTATTTTTCATTAAAACAAACATAAAGTGCAAAACCCTTTTCTGTGACAGTGTAGCTTTTTTAAAGATTCCTAAATTTGCTATCCCATTCCATGTTTTAGACAGTTCATCTACACTTCGTTAGCTTTTGTTCAGAATGAAAGATGACATATTTTTGCACCTTGTACAGACAGTCCCATGTCTTGACAGAAAACAAAATGAAAATACCCACATATGTTGTACTGCTCATGATTTGCTGTGAAGAGAGCAGGAAAAATGTTGGAATTATTTCTTTCCTACTCACCCTAAAGGTGGCATATTAGTAAGGCTATTTCAGGAGATACAACTTAGGTTATGCATTCAAGAATAAAATATTTTAAATTTGTATTAAATGCCTTATATGTGTCAGGCACTTGACAAGGTGCTTTACGTATGTTGTAATTTATTTCTCATAATAACCTTGCAAAGTCAGTGGTATTATCCCCATTTTGTGGGTGAGAGAACTGAGGTTTCAAGAGGTAAAGTAACTTGCTACATAGCTCATAAATGATGACTCTGAGATTTTAGCTCCAGGTTTGTCTGTTTGACCTCAAAGCCCAATTCATTCCCTCATACAGAGATACCTCCCATAGATAGGATTCCTTTCTCTCCTTCTTCCCTTCACTCCTTCCTTTCTTACTTTTTCCTTCCTTTTTTCCTTGACCTCAGATTTTCTCTCATTTATGAGGATAAAGGAGTTGAAAATAAAACCATCATAACTATTGTGTTTGGAAGATACCTTAAATCTTTTTTAGAATGAGAAATATAGGTGGAAATACAGGTTTTTGCAAAGTTTAAAGTTTATTCAATTTGGGAGACTTTGTTTAAGAAAAAGAATATAAAATCTGTATCAGGTTTCTCGACATGGTGCGGTGGCTCACGCCTGTATTCCCAACACTTTGAGAGGCTGAGGTGGGTGGATCAGTTGAGGTCAGGAGTTCAAAACCAGCCTGACAACATGGTGAAACCCTGTCTCTACTAAAAATACAAAAATTAGCCAGGCTTGGTGGCATGCACCTGTAGTCCTAGTTACTCGGGAGGCTGAGGCAGGAGGATCACTTGAACCTGAGAGGCAGAGGTTGCAGTGAGCCGAGATCACGCCACTGCACTCCAGCCTGGGTAACAGAGTGAGACCTTATCTCAAAAGTCTGTATCAGGGTTCTCTAGGAGGTGAGGTATTTATTATGGGAATCGGCTCATGCAATTATGGAGGCAGAGAAATCCCATAATCTGCTGTCTATAAGCTTGAGAACCCAGAAAGACAGCAATGTAATTTATTCAGAGTCAGAAGGCGTAAGAACTGGGAGCACTAATGTCTGAAGGCAGGAGAAGATCAATGTTCCAGTTCAGAGAAAGCAAATTCACCCTTCCTCTGCCTTTTGGTCCTATTTGGGTTCTCAATGGATTGGATGAGGAACGTTCATACTGATGAGGGTGAATCTTCTTTACTCAGTCCACTAATGCAAATGCTAATCTCTTCCCCCAAACACCTTACAGACACACCCAGATATAATGTGTTTTTTTATTTTTATTTATTTATTTATTTTACCAGCTATCTGACCATCCCTTAGCCCAGTAAAATTGAGACATAAAATTAACATCACAAAATTGTCAACATTAAAGTAGATACGAAGTGAATACTTATTTAGAATGGAAGAAGAAATCACAACAAATTACAAATCTGAGTGACAAATACCATAGGCATCACAAAATCTAGGAAATAAGTGTTTTTACCAATTAAAAATTAATGAATACACCCTAAATGTTTTGTTCCTACAATGTGGGGGCCACAGGATCTTTAATGACCTCCTAACACAATGATGATTTATTTTGATTTTGATTTTTTAATTAAAAAAATTTTTTTTGAGATGGAGTTTCGCTCTGTCGCCCAGGCTGAAGTGCAGTGGCGCCATCTTGGCTCACTGCAAGCTCCACCTCCTGGGTTCATGTCATTCTCCTGCCTCAGCCTCCCGAGTAGCTGGGACTACAGGCGCCTGCCACCATGCCTGGCTAATTTTTTTTTTTTTTTTGTATTTTTAGTAGAGACGGAGTTTCACCGTGTTAGCCAGGATGGTCTCAGTCTCCTGACCTCGTGATCCCTACTCCTTGGCCTCCCAAAGTGCTGGGATTATAGGCATGAGCCACTGTGCCCGGCCTTTATTTTTATTTATTATACTTACTTATTCACTTTATTTATTTATTTATTTATTTATTTATTTATTTATTTATTTTTAGTAAGAGACAGGGTTTCAGCATGTTGGCCAGCGTGGTCCCGAACTCCTGGCTTCAGGTGACCTGCCTGCCTCGGCCTCCCAAAGTGCTGAAATTATGGGTGTGAGCCACCGCACTTGGCTGATTTTTTAAATATTCTATAAAGAGATAATAGAAAGATAATTCAGATACTCCCCTGACATAGTTAATTGTTTTTCATTAGAGTCTAGAAAAGTTCCATCGCCTAGCTTTTGGCTCTGTTTCTCCTTTACTACCCACATACTTCAGGTGCTGAGCACCATAGGACATATTTATATGAAGATTTCAGCCCAGTGATTTAGTACAGGTAGTAGGGATATTCCTGTATGTCATTTCTCCACCAAAACATTTAGCAATAACTTAACCATGCACAGGCATGACTACAAACCACAATTATATAATCCACTAAATCCAAATGAAATCTAAGGGTATCCCCATCTCAACTTTCTTTGAGCCAGATCCAAGACATACCTATGGCCACTTCAGTGCTACCTGATAGGAGTAGAATTGTGAAGGAGGGATAGCCAGTAAAAAGAGTGCTCTCAAGCCAATTGCAGTTAAAATATATTTTGCAAATTTTTAACGAAACATAAGATTATGAGAACAATGCTAGAGTCTTTCTCGGGGCCTTAAAGAGGGTTCTGCAAGTGAGGGACCTTGAAGCTTAAGCTTTGTTGGCTTCCAAGAAAACCCAGCTCTGGAGGAAAGGTGTAACCAAAAAAAATGGTATTACACTATAATACACAAGAGTCCATGCCATATAGCGCTTCAAAAAATGATGTTATATGAGATCCTATTCTGAGCAGCTTCAGCTCCCAAACTCATTGAATGAAGTAGAGGATGTTCTATTCAGTATATTTTATAAATAATATGTTGAAGATATAGATGTTCTGGTACTGCTAAAACTCAAAGGTCTCAGACTCCTCTGCCACCATTTATATTCAAAAAAGAATTATTTGCAAAGGGATTCTTTGCAAATACAAATAGATCTCTATACTCCTATATTAGTCTAATTAATATTAAACACACCATTTACTATTCTTCCAAGCAGACCAGTTAACACACACACACACAGAGAAAGACTGTGTTATTGCTGTTTAAGATCACATAGTGGAAAAACTAAAACATCACTAAAGAAAGATAAAGTCTTTAAGAATTCATTAAGATGTAATCAAGCTTTTGCAAACTCATGTGTTATTTGCAATTATAGTATAGTGATATGGTTTAGCTGTGTTCACACCCAAATCTCAATTAAACTGTATCTCCTAGAATTCCTAGGTGTTGTGGGAGGGACCCAGGGGGAGGTAATTGAATCATGGGGGCTGGTCTTTCCCATGCTATTCTCATTATAGTGAATAAGTCTCATGAGATCTGATGGGTTTATCAGGGGTTTCTGCTTTTGCTTCTTCCTCATTTTCTCTTGCTGCTGCCATGTAAGAAGTGCCTTTTGCCTTCCGCCATGATTCCAAGGTCTCCCTAGTCATGTGGAAATGTAAGTCCAATTAAACCTCTTTTGCTTCCCAGTCTCGGGCATATCTTTATCAGCAGCATGAAAACAGACTAATATAGTAAATTGGTACCAGTAGAGTGGGGTGTTGCTGAAAAGATACCCGAAAATGTGGAAGTGACTTTGGAACTGGGAAACAGGCAGAGGTTGGAACAGTTTGGAGGGTTCAGAAGAAGACAGGAAAATTTGGGAAAGTTTGGAACTTCCTAAAGACTTGTTGAATGGCTTTGTCCAAAATGCTGATAGTGATATGGACAATAAGGTCCAGGCTGAGATGGTCTCAGATGGAGATGAGGAACTTGTTGAGAACCGGAGTGAAGGTGACTCTTGTTATGTTTTAGCAAAGAGAGTGGCAGCATTTTGCCTCTGCCCTAGAGATTTGTGGAACTTTGAACTTAAGAAAGATGATTTAGGGTATCTGACAGAAAAAATTTCTAAGCTGCAAACATTCAAGAGGTGACTTCATCACTGTTAAAGACATTCAGTTTTATAAGGGAAGCAGAGCATAAAAGTTTGGAAAACTTGCAGCCTGACTATGTGATAGAAAAGGAAAACCCATTTTCTGGGAAGAAATTCAAGTTGGCTGCAGGAATTTTCATAAGTAGCAAGGAGCCTAATGATAATCCCCAAGACCATGGGGAAAGTATCTCCAGGCCATTTCAGAGACCTTCACAGCAGCCCCTCCCATCACAGGCCTGGAGGCCTGTGGTTTCGTGGGCTGGGCCCAGGGTCCCTGTGCTGTGTGCAGCCTAGGGACTTGGTGCCCTGTGTTCCAGCCATGGCTGAAAGGGGCCAATGTACAGCTCAGGCTATGGCTTCAGAGGGTGGAAGCCCGAAGCCTTGGCAGCTTCCACGTGTTGTTGAGCCTGTGAATGCACTGAAGTCAAGAATTGAGGTTTGGGAACCTCCACCTAGATTTCAGAAGATGTATGGAAACACCTGGATGCCCAGGAAAATGTTTGCTGCAGGGGTGGGGTCCTCATGGAGAACTTCTGCCAGAGCAGTGTGGAAGGGAAATGTGGAGTCAGAGCCCCCATACAGAGTCCCTACTGGGGCACTGCCTAGTGGAGCTGTGAGAAGAGGGCCACCATCCTCCAGACCCCAGAATGGTAGATCCACCGACAGCTTGCACCGTGCTCCTAGAAAAGCCGCAGACACTCAACGTCAGCCCATGAAAGCAGCAAGGAGGGAGGCTGTACCCTGCAAAGCCACAGGGGTGGAGCTGCCTAAGACCATGGGCACCCAATCTTGCATCAGCATGACCTGGATGTGAGACCTGGAGTCAAAGGAGATCATTCTGGAGCTTTAAAAATTGACTGCCCTACTGAATTTTTGGACTTGTATGGGCCTCGTAACCCCTTTGTTTTGGCCAATTTCTTCCATTTGGAATGGCCACATTTACCCAATACCTGTACCTCCATTGTATCTAGGAAGTAACTAGTTTGCTATTGATTTACAGGCTCATAGGCGGAAGGGACTTGCCTTTCTCTCAGGTGAAACTTTGAACTGTGGACTTTTGGGTTAATGCTGAAATGGCTTAAGACTTTGGGGGACTGTTGGGAGGGCATGATTGGTTTTGAAATGTTAGGAGATGATATTTGGAGGGCCCAGGAGCAGAATAATATGGTTTGACAGTGTCCCCACCCAAATTTCAACTTGACTTCTATCTTCCAGAATTCCCATGTGTTGTGGGATGGACCCAAGTGGAGGTAATTGAATCATAGGGGCCAGTCTTCCCGGAGCTATTCTCATGATAATGAATAAGTCTCACAAGGTCTGATGGGTTTATCAGGGGTTTCTGCTTTTGCTTCTTCCTCATTTTCTGTTGCTGCCACCATGTAAGAAGTGCCTTTCACTTCCCGCCATGTTTCTGAGGCCTCCCCAGCCATGTGGAACTGTAAGTCCAATTAAACCTCTTTTTTATCCCAGTCTTGGGGATGTCTTTCAGCAGCATCAAAACAGACTAATATACATAGTTTCTGAAACTTGTCTGATACTCTAGATAAAGATCATCTTTATGTTGATTTAAAAATTTTTTAACTTTGTTTAATCCCCATAATCATATATTGACCTTTTTTGCTGAATTTTGCTCATTGAGAATGTATTGAAATGTCTACTTTTTTCATATATATCCTATTCTTAGCTGAAACTCTAGAATCCTCCTTTTTTGATTATATATGCATAATTATCCTTAAATGTAAGCAGTGCTTACAATTCTGTTCTGTACCATTACTATATTACCCAAGTTTACAACTTAACTAGACCATGGCTTATAAGTCATCTAAAAATAAATAAAGCAAATTATAGAAGTATTTTAGCCTTAAATAATGAAGACATGTTTGTTTCAAGTGATTAAATAGTGAGAATTGTGTAAAGCCATTTCACTAGCGTCAAAAAACTCCTTTTGCTCTGTCCCCAACATAAAATTTGTGTGTAATATACTTGAAATTTTTAGAGCCTCTGAAATGTTATCCAACTTATTTTCTTTAAGGATAAAATTATTTGTTTGAGAAACCCAGTTTCAAGAAAATGGCATTTTATCCTTACTTTGTGAAGCTTCCCTACTCCTCTTCTTTCATCTAACTGGTGCTGCTAAAGCCTGATACACCTAGTCAAAGAAGCATTGTTCCAAAGGTCCTGACCTGGAATAAGAAAACAAAAACTGGCTTCATAGCTAGGATGACAACTGTAGCTCCATTATCACTGAATTGCTAACTTTGTTCTTATTCTCTCAAACTGTGGTTTTGCCAATGTGATACTCAATTACCTAAGAGGGGAGAAGTATGATTTCTTTATGATTTTAATACTCTTTCCTCTCATATTTTAAAATAGCTGGTTTTAGGCCAATAAGTGTCTACTCAAAGAAATTCAAATCCTTATATAATTTAAGAATGCTGGAGGAGGTTTAAATATTCATGTACGGTCATACTTCCATTTTATTCCACTTCACTTATATATACATAGCACTTAACAGGTAATTGTGTTTTTTATAAATTGAAGGTTTCTGGCAACCTTGCATTGAGGAAGTTCATTGGCACTATTTTTCCAAAATCATGTATTCACTTCATGTCTCTGTGTCACATTTTAGTAATTCTTGCAATGTTTCAAACTTTCCCATTATTATTATATCTGTTATGATGACCTGTGGTAATTTTTGATGTTACTATTGTAATTGTTGTGGGGTGCCCTGAATCATGCCCGCATTAGACAGAAAACTTAATGGATAAATGTGTGTGCTGACTTCTCCACTGACCAGTGATTTCCCCAGCTCTCTTCTCCTTGGGCCTTCCTATTTCTTGGGACACAATAGTACTGAAAGTAGTCCAATAATAACCCTACAATGGCCTGTAAATGTTCCAGTGAAAGAAAGAGTCATACATTCCTCTCTTTAAATCAAAAAATAGAAATGATTGTCCCTCTCCCTCTCCCTCTCCCTCTCCCTCTCCCTCTCCCTCACGGTCTCCCTCTGATGCCGAGCCAAAGCTGGATGGTACTGCTGCCATCTCGGCTCACTGCAACCTCCCTGCCTGATTCTCCTGCCTCAGCCTGCCGAGTGCCGCCACGCCTGACTGGTTTTCGTTTTTTTTTGGTGGAGACGGGGTTTCGCTGTGTTGGCCGGGCTGGTCTCCAGCTCCTAACCGCGAGTGATCCGCCAGCCTCGGCCTCCCGAGGTGCCGGGATTGCAGACGGAGTCTCATTCACTCAGTGCTCAATGGTGCCCAGGCTGGAGTGCAGTGGCGTGATCTTGGCTCGCTACAACCTCCACCTCCCAGCCGCCTGCCTTGGCCTCCCAAAGAGCCGAGATTGCAGCCTCTGCCCGGCCGCCACCCCGTCTGGGAAGTGAGGAGCGTCTCTGCTTGGCCACCCATCGTCTGGGATATGAGGAGCCCCCTCTGCCTGGCTGCCCAGTCTGGAAAGTGAGGAGCGTCTCTGCCCGGCCGCCATCCCATCTAGGAAGCGAGGAGCGCCTCTTCCCCGCCGCCATCACATCTAGGAAGTGAGGAGCGTCTCTGCCCGGCCGCCCATCGTCTGAGATGTGGGGAGCACCTCTGCCCTGCCGCCCTGTCTGGGATGTGAGGAGCGTCTCTGCCCGGCCGCTCCGTCTGAGAAGTGAGGAAACCCTCTGCCTGGCAACCGCCCCGTCTGAGAAGTGAGGAGCCCCTCCGTCCGGCAACCACCCCGTCTGGGAAGTGAGGAGCGTCTCCGCCCGGCAGCCACCCCGTCCCGGAGGGAGGTGGGGGGGCTCAGCCCCCCGCCCGGCCAGCCGCCCCGGCCGGGAGGTGAGGGGCTCCTCTGCCCGGCCGCCCCTACTGGGAAGTGAGGACCCCTCTGCCCGGCCAGCCGCCCCATCCGGGAGGGAGGTGGGGGGGTCAGCCCCCCGCCCGGCCAGCTGCCCTGTCCGGGAGGTGAGGGGCTCCTCTGCCTGGCCGCCCCTACTGGGAAGTGAGGAGCCCCTCTGCCCGGCCAGTCGCCCCGTCCAGGAGGGAGGTGGGGGGGTCAGCCCCCGGCCTGGCCAGCCGCCCAGTCCGGGAGGGAGGTGGGGGGTCAGCCCCCCGCCTGGCCAGCCGCCCCGTCCGGGAGGTGAGGGGCGCCTCTGCCCGGCCGCCCCTACTGGGAAGTGAGGAGCCCCTCTGCCCGGCCAGCCGCCCCGCCCGGGAGGGAGGTGGGGGGTCAGCCCCCCGCCTGGCCAGCCGCCCCGTCCGGGAGGTGAGGGGCGCCTCTGCCCGGCCGCCCCTACTGGGAAGTGAGGACCCCTCTGCCCGGCCAGCCGCCCCGTCCGGGAGGGAGGTGGGGGGGGACAGCCCCCCGCCCGGCCAGCCGCCCTATCCAGGAGGTGAGGGGCGCCTCTGCCCGGCCGCCCCTACTGGGAAGTGAGGAGCCCCTCTGCCTGGCCAGCCGCCCCGTCCGGGAGAGTGGTGGGGGGGTCAGCCCCCCGCCCGGCCAGCCGCCCCATCCGGGAGGTGAGGGGCGCTTCTGCCCCGCCGCCCCTACTGGGAAGTGAGGAGCCCCTCTGCCCGGCCACCACCCCGTCTGGGAGGTGTGCCCAGCGGCTCATTGGGGATGGGCCATGATGACAATGGCGGTTTTGTGGAATAGAAAGGCGGGAAGGGTGGGGAAAAAATTGAGAAATCGCATGGTTGCCGGGTCTGTATGGATAGAAGTAGACATGGGAGACTTTTCATTTTGTTCTGTACTAAGAAAAATTCTTCTGCCTTGGGATCCTGTTGATCTGTGACCTTATCCCCAACCCTGTGCTCTCTGAAACATGTGCTGTGTCCACTCAGGGTTAAATGGATTAAGGGCGGTGCAAGATGTGCTTTGTTAAACAGATGCTTGAAGGCAGCATGCTCGTTAAGAGTCATCACCACTCCCTAATCTTAAGTACCCAGGGACACAAACACTGCGGAAGGCCGCAGGGTCCTCTGCCTAGGAAAATCAGAGACCTTTGTTCACTTGTTTATCTGCTGACCTTCCCTCCACTATTGTCCTATGACCCTGCCAAATCCCCCTCTGCGAGAAACACCCAAGAATGATCAATAAAAAATAAAAAAAAAAAAAAAAAAAAAAAAAAAAAAGAAATGATTAAGCTTAATGAGGAAGCATGTTGAAAGCTGAGGTAGGCTGAAAGCTAGGCCTCATGCATCAGTTAGCCAAGTTGTCAATACAAAGGAAAATTCTTGAAGGAAATTAAAAGTGCTACTCCAGTGAACACACAAATGATAAGAAAGCTAAACAGTATTTTTGCTAATGTGCAGGAAGTTTGAGCGGTCTGGATACAAGACCAAACCAGGCATACCATTCCTTTAGGCCAAAGTCTAATTCAGAGTAAGTCTCTAACTCTCTTGAATTCTGTGAAGGTTGAGAGAGGAGGGTTAGCTGCAGAAGAAAAGTTTGAATATAGCAGAGGTTGGTTCTTGAGGTTTAAGGAAAGAAGCAATCTCCATAACATAAAAGTACAAGGTGAAGCAGCAAGGAGTGATGGAGAAGTGGCAGCAAGTAATCCAGAAGACCTAGCTAAGATCATTGATGAAGGTGGCTATACTAAATAATAGATTTTCAATGTGGATAAAAAGCCACAGGCTGACTTTCTTGTTTGGAACCAGTACAGCTGTTGACTTTAAGTTGAAGCCAATGATGATTTATCATTCTGAAAATTCTAGGTCCCTAAAGAATGATGCTAAATCTACTTTGCTTGTGCTCTATCAATGGAACAACAGAGCCTGTAGGACAGCAGATCCATTTATAGCATGGCTTACTGAATATTTTAAGCCCACTGTTGAGACCTCAAAAAAAAAAATAGATTCCTTTCAAAATATTACTGCTCTTCACAGTGCAGCTAGTCACCCAAGAGCTCTGACATGAGGTAAAAGGAGAATAATGTTTTCATGTCTGCTGTCTGTTCTGCAGTCCATGGATCAAGGAAGAATTTTAACTTTCAAGTCTTATTATTTAAGAAACACATTTCATAAGGCTATAGCTACCATAGATAGTGATTCCTCTGATGGATCTGGGCAAAGTAAACTGAAAACTTTCCAGAGAGGATTCACCATTCTAGGTGTCACTAAAAACATTTGTGATTCATGAAAGGAGGACAAAGTGTCAACATTAACAGGAGTTTAGAAGAAGTTGATTCCAACCCTCATGGATGACTTTGAGGGATTCAAGACTTCAGTGGAGGAAGTAAGTACAGATGTGGTAGAAAGGGCAAGATAACTAGAAGTGGATCCTGAAGATGTTACTGAATTGCTGCAATTTCATGATAAACGTTGAACAGATGAGGAATTGCTTCCTCATAAGAAAACACAGAAAATGTTTTCTTATGATAGAACCTATTGCTGGGTAGATATGCTGTGAACATTGTTGAAATGATGACAAAGGATTTAGAGTATTTTATAAACTGAGGTGATAAAGCAGTGGCAGGGTTTGAGAGGACTGACTCCAATTTTGAAAGAGGTTCTACTATGCTACTAAACAGCATCAGACAATACAGAGAAATCATTTGTGCAAGGAAGAGTCAATTGATGCACCAAACTTTATTATTGTTTTATTTTAGGAAATTGCCACCGCCACTTCAACTTTCAGCAACCACCGCCCTGATCAGTCAATAGCCATTAACGTCAAGGCGAGATCCCCTACCAGCCAAAATATTATGACTCATTGATGGTTCAGATGATCATTAACATTCTTTAGCAATAAAGTATTTTTTAACTAAGGTATATACATTTTTTTAGACTTGCTATTGAATACTTAATAGACTACAATACAGTGTAAACATAAATTTTGTATGCACTGGGAAACCAAAAAATTTGTGTGACTTTCTGTATTGTGATATTTGCTTTATTGTGGTGGTCTCAAACCAAGCTCACAATATCTCTGAGTTATCCCTGTACATTCTTATTCACTCTTAGAATTGAGTACTATTGGCATGATCAAAATATTTTTAGATGAAAGCTTAATGCTTCTTGTAAACAGTGCTGAAACTTTAGCATGCATTGGAATCACCTAAAGGACTAATTAAAACAGAATGCTGGGCCCCACCTCCAGAGTTTCTAATACAGTAGGACTGAGGTGGGGCCCAAGAGTCTGCATTTCTAAAAAAATTCCAGGTGGGAGGGACCACACTTTCAGAACCACTGTTGCAGATCATTTGATGATGTATATTTCCAAAATCAAAGCTGACAGGGCTTGTCATACCTACTCAAGAATAGCATGTATGCTGCTTAGAAGATGGTAAGTCATTGTCAAAGCCAGAGGGATACTAATGATGACTTAGAGTTTCACAGGTTCTTAATTGACCATTTTCATTCACCTTGGCTGATGCCTAGTGTTACTTAATGCTTAGTAAGAAATCTTTAGGCCAGGGGCGGTGGCTCACCCCTATAATCCCAAACTTTGGGAGGCAGAGGCCGGCGGATCAGCTGAAGTAAGGAGTTCCAGACCAGCCTGGCCAATGTGGTGAAACCCCATCTCTATTAAAAAGTACAAAAATTAGCCAGGCGTGCTGGCGCGTGCCTATAACCCCTGTTACTCTGGAGGCTGGGGCTGGAGAATTGCTTGAACCTGGGAGGCAGAGGTTGCAGTGAGCGGAGATCATGCCACTGCATTCCAGCCTGGGCAACAGGAGTGAAACTCTGTCTCAAAAAAAAAAAAAAAAAAAATCTTTAAGCAATGTCTTGGCCCTAAGAATATAATCTAAAATATGTTCTTATGTTTATATCATCTTCGATAGCTGATTAAAGTGATGTAGCAACTGAGAATTTCAATTGTTGATTTAAATCATGGAATATACAAAAAGATATAATCCTTGTTAGGTCCTGCATACTTTCTAAAGCCATTATGAGGTCTTAATTAAAAGAAACAAAGAATAAAACCCTCATTTTTTCCCTAGCCCTTACTCTGCTTATTGTTTAAACATAATTATAAAGACTCTGAATAACAAAAATTTAACTGGAAAGATGAAATCAGTATTCTTAATACTACTTAGTGGCTTTTAGGTTTAGGACATATGTTTAATATGTATTCTGTTGATTTTTCAATAGATCATGTTAATTAACATGTCTCAATTACCTATTGAATAATGTCTCTAAAATGCCTATCTGTGATTATTATTCATGAGATTACACTCCCATTTTACCAGTACTATGCCTATCTGTGATTATTATTCATGAGACTACACTCCCATTTGAGGAGTACTTTTCTTTTCTTTTTTTTTTTTTTAAAGATGGGGTCTTACTCTGTCACCCAAGCTGGAGTGCAGTGGCACGAAATCGGCTCACTGCAACCTCCGCCTCCTGGGTTCAAGCGATTCTCCTGCCTTAGCCTCCCGAGTAGCTGTGATTACGGGCACCTACCACCACACCTGGCTAATTTTTGTATATTTAGTAGAGACGGAGTTTCACCATTTTGGCCAGGCTAGTCTTGAACTCCTGACCTTGTGATCTACCTGCCTCGGCCTCCCAAAGTGCTGGGATTACAGGTGTGAGCCACTGCGCCCAGCTTGAGCAGTACTTTTCAACTCTGAGAAGATAAACCCAAGGGATTCTAGAAGAGGGTCTGCTTGGAGAATAATTTCTCCAGTAATGGTATCTGAAGGTTGAATAAAAACAAGTGAATAGATGTAGATATTGACTAAGAGTGACTAAGAAAGACAGTTACCTTATTAATTAATACAATCTTGAGTGTCATCAAATTAGCTATGGGGCATATATCCTACACTCAGAAATTAGGCACTATTAAAGTTAAAGGGGGCCACACTGAATTGAAAGAGGCAAGAATTTAACAAACAAAATGATAAACTACAAAAGGTAACTAAATAAACAGAGCAGCTTCTTATATATTCTCCAATAAGGCATTGTGGAAACATTGAGGGATGGAGGGATACCCAAGCCAAGATGGGTATTAGACTGCTAACTTTGACATTAAACACTGAGAAATTCTTGAGCAGGGAGCTTCCTTTGTATGAGTCTCATCTTCATCACCTTTAAGAAGCAATTAATGAAATCTAGTCTGCTTACTTCGCAATGTTTTGAGCATTAAATTTAATTATATACAAATATGTACTTTTGGTGTCTGTTCAGTGAGAATTGATTCTCACTTCCCTAAAAGTAATTTAAACGTTTTAATCAAATGTGTAATGTTGACATCTTTACCTTTCCAAGTACTTTTGTACTTTTCCAGGGTTAAAATAACATTTTTGTCATTTAAATGAGGAAAAAATATAAGTTTTTTAAAAACTCAAATGTCATAGCTTTTTAACTGTTCTAATTGTGTCTGCTAATAGAAACAAGTTGATGTGCAAACCACAAAATAATAAATATTTTTGCCTAGCTTTTGGGAAAAAGAAAAGACTATAGTATACTTTAAGTAAGTGTAAATTTAGTTTCATTTTAGCAATTCCATAGTCGAATCTGTCACTAAGTAATCATTAGTTAAAGAAAAAAAATCTAGCCAGGCACCGTGGCTCACCCCTGTAATCCCAGCACTTTGAAAGGCTGAGGTGGGCAGATCACAAGGTCAGGAGTTCTAGACCAGCCTGACCAACATGGTGAAACCCCGTCTCTACTAAAAATACAAAAATTAGCCCGGCATGGTGGCGGGTGCCTGTAATCCCAGCTACTCAGAAGGCTGAGGCAGGAGAATCGCTTGAACCCAGGAGGCAGAGGTTGCAGTGAGCTGAGATTACACCACTGCACTCCTGCCTGGGTGACAGAACGAGACTCTGTCTCAAAAAAAAAAAAGAAAAAAAGAAAAAGAAAAGATAAGAAAAAAATCTAGTGCCCAGGGCATGCAACTATATAAGTAAAAATTCTAAAAGATCATCAATGTTTAAGAATAAAATACAGTCAGTTATATAATTTTAAAATATTTCTAATGAGTGATAAGGAAAACTTGTCAATGGAATTTCTGAAGTCAATAGCCAATTTTTAACTTTATCTGCTAATATGGCAATTATTTAACTTAAAAAACAGACACACTTCTTATTCAGTTTTTGGACATCTTATTCTGTAACTTCCTATTGATTAACATCGCCTTTAACATTTTAAGTACTTGTCGTAACATTTTATCATTTGAATAATTCATATTGTATTATACTCTTCACTTTTATAGGAACAATCATCAACCAACATTTTAACCTATTAATCTAAACTAAATTTTTTCCTCTCATTTAATCTATCAATTAAGATTCTTCTGATTGTATGTAACAGAAAATGTAGTTCATTTATTATCTCACATTAGAGGAAGTCTAGTGGTAGGGCAGGCCCCAGAGTTGGTTTATTTGTTAGCTTAATTATGTATTAAAGGACTTGGCTTCTTCGAGTCACTACTTTGCCATTCTTAGTATTGTCTTTTCTCAGGGGAAGGGTAGAAGGAGGGATAAAAAGGTGGCTGCTGTACTTCCAAGCATTCAGAATCATTGAAAAGTCTTGCTAAATCAGACTGCTGCATCTAATCCCCAGAATTTGATTCAGTAGGACTCGCCGGAGTGTGAGAATTTGCATTTCTAATAAATTCCCAGGTGATGCTGATGCTGCTCATAGTAAAGCCACACTGAGAAATATTAACTTAGACTAATGATCTTGGAAACGAATGGATTTTTTCTTTTCTTTTTAGTTCACATGTAATAGTTGTATTTATTTATGCAACACAGAATGATATTTTGATACATCTGTACTATGTGTAATCATCAAGTAAGGGCAATTAGCATATCCCTCACCTCAAAAATTTATGATTTCTTTTTGTTGGGAACATTCCAAATCCTCTCTTCCAGTTTTTTAAAAATATGCAGTAAATTGTTGTTAACTATACTCATCCCACAGTGCTATAAAACACTGTAATGTATTTCTCCTATCTAGCTGTAATTTTGTATCCATTAACCAACCTCTCCCTATTCCTCCCCTCCAACTACATTTACCAGCCTCTAGTAACCACTATTCTACTATTTACTTCTATGAGTTCAACTT
The DNA here is from genome assembly GCF_000001405.40 of Homo sapiens. Classification (NCBI taxonomy): domain Eukaryota; kingdom Metazoa; phylum Chordata; class Mammalia; order Primates; family Hominidae; genus Homo; species Homo sapiens. Next base: position 130,875,346 of record NC_000003.12, read on the forward strand.
TTGAGCTCATGTATGGGTGTGAACATGTGTTATTTATCTTTTTGTGCCTTATTTATTTCACTTAACATAACATCCTCCAGGTTCATCCATGTTGCCATGAATGACAGGACTTAATTCTTATTTATAACTGAATCGTTTTCTATTGTGTATATATACCACATTTTCTCTATCCAGTCATCTGTTGATGGACTTGTAGTTTGATTCCATTATCTTGGCTATTGTGGATAATGCTACAATAAACATGGGGGTGTAGATACCTCTTCAATATACTGATTTGCTTTTCTTTGGATAGGTACCCGGTAGTGCTGAATCACATGATAGTTCTATTTTTAGTTTTTTGAGGAACCTCCATACTGTTTTCCATAACGGCTGTACAAATTTACAATCACACTAATACTGTATGAGTTTCCCTTCTTCTGTATCCTCACTGGCATTTGTTAGTTTTTGTCTTTTTGACAATAGTCATTCTAACAAGTGTGAGGTGATATCTCATCGTGGTTTTGATTTGCATTTCTCTGATGATTAGTGATGTCGAGTGTTTTTTTTTTTTATGTACTTGTTGGCCATTTGCTTTGAGAAGTGTCTTTAGATCATTTGCCCATTTTTAAATCAAAATATTTGAGTTTTTTTTGGAGTTATTTTTTGAGCTGTTGGTTTTTTTCAGTTCCTTGTATATCCTGGATATTTTGTCAGGTAAATAGTTTGCAAATATTTATTTCCATTCTACAGGTTGTCTCTTCATTTTGTTGATGATACTCTTTGTTGTGCAGAGGCTTTTAGTTTGATATAGTACCACTTGTCTATTTTTATTTTTGTTCCCTGTACTCTTGAAGTCTTACCCATAAAATTTTTTCCTAGACCAATGTCCAGAAGCATTTTCCCTGTTTTCTTCTAGTAGTTTTAGGGCTTTGTGTCTTACATTTAATTATTTAATCCATATTGGGTTCATTTTTATATATGCTGAGAGTTAGGGGTCTAATTTAATTCTTCTTTAATATGAATATCCAGTTTTCCCAACACCATTTATTGAAAAGGATGTTCTTTCACTAGTGTATGTTCTTGTCTTCTTTTCTGAAAATTAGTTGGCTGTAAATAGTTGGATTCATTTCTAGGTCCTCTATTCTGTTCTATTTGTCCTTGTTTCTGTTTTTATCTTGCTGTTTTGGTCACTAAAATTTTGTAGTGTATTTTGAAGCCAGATACAGTGATGCATCCAGGTTTGTTCTTTTTGCTTAGGATTGCTTTGGTTCCTCAGGATCTTTTGTGTTTCCACATGAATTTTAAGACTGTTTTTTCTATTTCTATGAAGAATGTCGTTGGTATTTTAATTGGAAATGCATTGAATCTGTAGCTTGAGTAATATGGTCATTTTAACAATACTAATTCTTTCAATTCATGAGCATAGGATGTCTTTCCATTGTTTTTGTGTCCTCTACTATTTGTTTCATCAGCATTTTATAGTTTTCATTGTAGAGGTCTTTCACCTCCTTGGTTAAATTTATTACTAGGGGTTTTTTGTAGCTAGTATAAATGGAATTGCTTTCTTGATTTCTTTTTATTGTTGTTGTTATTGGCATACAGAAATGCTACTGATTTTTGTATGTTGATTTTGTTTCCTACAAGTTTACTGAATTTGTTTATTCGTTCTAAAAGTACTTTGGTGGAGTATTTAGGTTTTTCTGTATATAAGATCATGTTATCTGCAAACAGGGACAATTTGACTTCCTGTTTTTGAATTTGGATGCTGTTTATTTATTTCTCTTGCCTAATCTATTTTGTCTGATATAAGTATAGCTACTCCTATATACTTTTGGTTTTCATTTGTGTGGAATACATTTTTCCATTCCTTCACTCACAGTCTTTGTCTGTTTTTAAAGGTGACAAGAGTTTCTTGTAGGCAGCATAAAGTTGGGTTTTGTTTTTGCTTATTCATTCAGCCAGTCTTTATCTTTCAATTGGGGGGATTTAAAATGTTTAAAAGAAACTACCATCAGAGTGAACAGGCAACCTACAGAATGGGAGAAAATTTTTACAATCTACCCATCTGACAAAGGGCTAATATCCAGAATCTACCAAGGACTTAAACAAATTTACAAGAAAAAATCAAACAACCCCATCAAAGAGTGGGCAAAGGATATGAACAGACACTTCTCAAAAGAAGACATTTATGCAGCCGACAGACCCATGAAAAAATGCTCATCATCACTGGACATCAGAGAAATGCAAATCAAAACCACAATGAGATACCATCTCACACCAGTTAGAACGGGATCATTAAAAAGTTAGGAAACAACAGGTGCTGGAGAGGATGTGGAGAAACAGGAACACTTTTACACTGTTGGTGGGACTGTAAACTAGTTCAACCATTGTGGAAGTCAGTGTGGCGATTCCTCAGGGATCTAGAACTAGAAATATCATTTGACCTAGCCATCCCATTACTGGGTATATATCCAAAGGATTATAAATCATGCTGCTGTAAAGACACATGCACGTGTATGTTTATTGCGGCACTATTCACAATAGCAAAGACTTGGAACCAACCCAAATGTCCAACAGTGATAGACTGGATTAAGAAAATGTGGCACATATACACCATGGAATATTATGTAGCCATAAAAAAGGATGAGCTCATGTCCTTTGTAGGGACATGGATGAAGCTGGACACCATCATTCTGAGCAAACTATCACAAGGACACAAAACCAAACACTGCATGTTCTCACTCATGGGTGGGAATTGAACAATGAGAACACTTGGACACAGAGTGGGGAACATCACACACTGGGGCCTGTCGTGGGGTGGGGGGAGGGGGGAGGGATAGCATTAGGAGATATACTTAATGTAAATGACGAGTTAATGGGTGCAGCACACCAAGATGGCACATGTATACATATGTAACAAACCTGCAGGTTTTGCACATGTACCCTAGAACTTAAAGTATAATAAAAAAATCATAAAATGTTTAGCCCTAAGGTTGCTATTAATAAATGAGAATTTACTTCTGTCATTTTGTTAATTGTTTTCGGAATGTTTTGTGTACCCTTTGTTTCTTTTTGTTTTTCTTTGCAGTTTAATGATTTTCTGTAGTGATAATGTTTAGTTCCTTTTTCTGTCTTATTTTTGTATCTGTTCTACCAGTGAATTTTACACTATTGTGTGTTTTCTTGATGGTAAATATGACATTGTCCTTTAGCTTCCAAATGTGGGACTTTCTTAAGCATTTTTTGGAGGGGTATTGATGAGTTTCCTGTTTTTGGTTTCTGGAAAATACTTTATTTCTCCTTCATTTCTGAAAGTTAGCTTTGCTGGGTATAGTATTCTTGCCTGACAATTTCTTTCTTTCAGCACTTTGAATATATTATCCCATTCTCTCCTGGCCTATAAGGTTTCTGCTGAGAAATATGCTATTATTCTGATGGGGATTCCTTTAGATATGACTTGATGCTTATCTCTTGCTGTTTTCAGAATTCTTTCTTCAACTTTTGGCAATGTAACTATAATGCATTTCAAATAGAACCTTTTTGTGTTGAATTTATTTGGAGATCTTTGAGCTTCCAGTATCTGGATGTCTATATCACTCCTAAAATTTGGGAATTTTTCAGCTATTATTTTATTAAATTACATTTCTTTCTGTTGGGACCATTCAACATACACTTTCTAGCTATTTGAAACTATATAAGTATTGTTTATTTCATACATTGGGTTCTTCAGTTTTAATATATATATATTTTTTGACAGAGTCTCACTCTGTTGCCCAGGCTGGATGCAATGGCACAATCTTGGCTTACTGCTACCTCTGCCTCCTGGGTCCCAGTTCAAGCAATTCTCCTTCCTCAGCCTCCTGAGTAGCTGGGATTACAGGCACATGCCACCATGCACAGCTAATTTTTGTATTTTTATTTTTTAATAGAGGCAGCGTTTCTCCATGTTGGCCAGGCTAGTCTTGAACTCCTGACCTCGTGATCCACCTGCCTCAGCCTCCCAAAGTGCTGGGATTACAGGTGTGAATCACCATGCCTGGCTGATATTTCTGTTTTTTTCTCTTTTTTTAATGAAATGTACCTCTGTTGAATTTTTCATTCAGATCCTGAATTGTTTTCTTGATTTTATTGTATTGTTTATCTGTATTTGTTTGCATTTCACTGAGTTTTCTGAAGATAATTATTTTGAATTTCTTTTCAAGCATTTCATGCATTTCCTTTTTTGGTATTCTGCTACTGAAGAATTACCGTTGTTTTTTGGTGCTGTTATATTTCCTTGCTTTTTCATGTTATTTTGTTTCTCTATGTTAATATCTGTGCATCTGGTGTAACCGTTGTTTTCTTCCAATTTTATACAGTATCTTTCATAGAAAAAGACTTTTTCCTATAGATGTATTCATAATGTAAGTTGGGTAGAGTGCTTTGGCTTTCATTCTGGGTGGGTGCGATAGTACAGTCTCTGTATAATTTCTTTGGCTGTCATCAACATCAGTGGTGTCTGCAAGTTCCTCAGTGGCTTAGATTGCAGTTGTCTGTGGGAAAGCTGTGCTGGATGGGGATGCCAGGTGAGATGATCCTTGGGCCCCTGGGCAGCACATGGGTGCATGATGACCTCATCGCTGGAATGGGCTGGGTTGCTGGCAGAAGTGATAGTGAACCCTCATGTGGTCTGGTCCTTTAACCCCTATTTGGTGTGGTGGTGGCAGCAGGTACCTAGGAGGAGTGCAAAGGTGTTCATGGTGGCTGGGAATGGATGTTTGAGGATTACTTATGACATTCATTAAAAGATATACTATAATTATCATTTGGAAAATTACAGAGTTCCCTTTACTCACCTCAAAGGGCCTGGTGTCATTTTTAGTTTGTAAGCCTCCTGTTAAATATTCTACACTGGGACACTGCTCATTTAAAATACCAATATTTCTAGTAGTTGATGTAGTAGTTTTGCAGAAAATAGTTTTGCATTCAGATGTTTGAATTGGGAGCTTGATTGGGTCAGTTCAAGCCCCAAATTTTCACCTCAGCTTACCTGTTCCCACTCATAGGAAGTTTTACCCCTCCAAATCCTCATTTTTCCAATTCGCCTAAATATTGGACATTTAGAACTATTAAAAACTTAAAATATGATACAGGCTACAAAAGCATTACCTTCTATAATCAAGGAAGAAAAATAAGGTTGTCCAAAGGCATACTGTAAATGCTTCTAATCCAATTTTCCACCTGATCTTTGATTGTAGCAATAAATTTTCTAAGCTAAAGGATTAACAATTTGCTTGTGTTGCAAAAACTCTTTCCTGCCAATTTGTAATTACCCTTCTCTATCATTTATCTCATAAACTATATTGCCAAATTGTAATTTCCCCTTTTTCATTATCTATTTCAAAAACCATCTCATTGATATGGGTTCTGTATCTCCCATAGTATGCTCAGTGGGACTAGTGGTCTGTTTGGATGATTGTCCTGGGCTAAACTGCAGGATCCTCATAAAGCCTTGGGGCTGTTTATCTCACTCTCCAATTTATTATCATAATGGCATTTTGTGCCTTTTTCCTCATTTATTTGCACAATAGGAAGCACAGTGGAGAGAGATGATTTCTGCAGGGGGCCTGGAAGGACAGGGGACAAGTTCAGACACAGAAGAAAGCTTTGCAGAAAATATCTGACTTCCAGCAGTTACTGGGATAGAAAACTTTTAAGTGCAAAATGTACTATTTTGGAGGTATGAGGAAATGCTACCTTTCCCAAAGCACTCCCACATCCCAGTGTGCAGCAGGATAAAGAGAGACTGAAAATGTTTCTGATATGAAATTGATACAGCATTTAAATGGAGGGAGGAGGCCTAGGCTATTAATGCAAACACAGCTAGAGGCCTGCAGATATGACACAGAATTTTTCCCACAGTTTTAATTTAAAACAACCAACCCGTCAGCAAAGCTTTCAAAGTTGGTGGAAGATATTGGCCAGTGGCAATTTAACTTACTCACCTATTTTAAGACCTCCTTTTCTTTTTCTTCTTCTTCTTCTCCTCCTCCTCCTCCTCCCCCTCCCCCTTCCCCTCCTTTGTCTCTCTCTCATCCAGGCTGGAGCGCAGTGGTGTGAACATGGCTCACCACAGCCTTGTCCTCCTGGGCTCAAGCAGTCCTCCCACCTCAGCCTCCCAAGTTGCTGGGACCACAGGTGCACACCACCATGCCCAGCTAGTTTTTAAGTTTTTTGTAGAGATGACGTTTCTCCATGTTTTCCATGTTATTACTTCTATTTCTTTGAGGAAAGTCATTGGCATTTTGGTAGAGATTGCATTCAATCAGTAGATTGCTTTGGGTAGCATGGACATTTAAAAATATTAATTCTTGCATTCCATGAATATAGAATATGTTTACATTGTTTTGCATCCTCTTCAATTGCTTTCATCAGTGTTTTACAGTTTTCATCATAGAGATGTTTCACTTCTTTGGTTAAGTTAATTTCTAGGGATTTAATTTTATTTGTGGCTATTACATGTGGGATTATTTTTACCTCTTTTTCATATTGTACTCTGTTGGCATATAGAAATGCTACTGATTTTTGTATGTTGATTTTGTGTCCTGCAACTTTATTGACTTTATTTACCAGTTCTAATAGTTTTTGGTGGAGTCTTTAGGTTTTTCCAATATATAGTCATATCATCTGCAAATAAAAATAATGAAACTTCTTCTTTTACAATTTAGATGTTAAAGAACATTTCTCTTGCCTAATTGCTCTAGTTAGGACTTCCAGTACTATGTTGAATAATAGTGGTGAAAAAGTGGGCATCCTTTTCATGTTCCAGTCTTAAAATAATGACTCTAAGTTTTTCCCCATTCAGGGTAATACTAGCTGTGTGTCTGTCATATACTTTTTTCTTTCTTCTTTTTTTTTTTTTCTCACTCTGTTGCCCAGGCTGGAATGCAGTGGCGCGACCTTGGATCACTACAACCTCCACCTCCTGGGTTGAAGTGATTCTCTTGCCTCTTGTAATCCCAAGTAACTGGGATTACAGGCATGCACCACCACACCTGGCTAATTTTTTATATTTTTAGTAGAGATGAGGTTTCACCATGTTGGCCAGGCTGATCTCAAACTCCTGACCTCAAGTGATCTGCTTGTCTTGGCATCCCAAAGTGCTGGGATTACAGACGTGAGCCACCATGCCCAGCACAACTTTTATTATGTTGAGATATGTTCCTTCTCTACCTAGTTTTTAAAGGGTTTTAATCATGAACAGATGTTAAATTTTATCAAGTGGTTTTTCAGCATCAATTGAAGTGATCATATGGTTTTTGTCCTTCATTCTGTTGCTATGACATATCACATTAATTGATTTGCATGTGTTGAACCATCCTTGCATCCCAAGGATAAGCTCACTTGGTCATGATGAATGATGTCTTTAATGTATTGTTGAATTTGGTTTGCTAGTATTTCATTGAGGATTTTTGCATTAATATTTATCAGAGACACCAGCCTGTAGATTTTTTTTTGATGTGTCTTTGTTCTTTGTATCAGGGTAACACTTGCCTCGTAGAATGAGTTTGGAAGTATTCCCTCCTCCTCTATTTTTTGTAATAGTTTGAGTAGCATTGGTATTAGTTCACCTTTAAATGTTTGGTAGAATTCAGCAGTGAAGCCATCAGGTCCCAAGCTTTTCTTTGCTGGAAGACTTTTTATTATGGCTTCAATCTTGTTACTTGTTACTGTTCAGGCTTTGGATTTCTTCATGGTTCAATCTTGGTAGGTTGTTATGTGTCTAGGAATTTACCCATTTCTTCTAAATTTTCCAATTTATTAGCATATGGTTGATGATACTAGCCACTAATGATCCTTTGAATTTCTGTAGTATCAGTTGCAATGTTTCTATTTTCATCTCTGATTTTATTTATTTGGGTCTTTTCCTTTTTTTTCTTTGTTAGTCTGGCTAATGGTTTGTCAGTTTTGTTCATCTTTTCAAAAGACTAACTTTTTGTTTCATTGACATTTTTATTGTTTTCTTCATTTCAAACTTATTTCTGCTCTGATCTTTATTACTTCTTTTTTCCTACTAATTTTGAGTTTGATGTGCTATTGCTTTTCTAATTTTTTTAAAGATGTATCATTAGGATATTTATTTGAAGTCTTTCTTCTCCTTCTTTTTTTTTTTTCTCCACAGAGTTTTGCTCTGTCACCTAGGCTGGAGTGCAGCCTAGCTCACTGCAACATCTGCCTCCCAGGCTCATGCAATTCTTCTGCCTCAGCCTCCCAAATAGCTGGGATTGTAGGCACCTGCCACGACGCCCAGCTAACTTTTGTCTCTTTAGTAGAGACAGGGTTTCGCCATGTTGTCCAGGCTGGTCTCAAACTCCTGACCTAACCTCAAGTGATCTGCCCACCCTGGCCTCCCAAAGTGCCGGGATCACTCATGTGAGCTGCCGCACCCAACCCTCTTTCTTCTTTCTGATGTAGGTACTTAGAGCTTAAACTTCCCTCTTAGTAGTTATAGCTATAAACTTCCCTCTTTCAATGTATCTGATATGTTTTGGTATGTTGTGTTTCCATTAGCATTTGTTTCAAGAAATTTTTCAATTTCTTTCTTAATTTCTTTTCTTTCTTTCTTTCTTTTTCTTTTCTTCTTTTTTTTTTTTTTTTGATAGAGTCTTTCTCTGTCACCCAGGCTGGACTGCAGTGGTGTCATCTCATCTCACTGCAACCTCCGCCTCTCGGGTTCAAGTAATTCTCCCACCTCAGCCTCCCGAGTAGCTGGATTACAGGCTCTGGCCACCATGCCTGGCTAATTTTTGTACTTTTAGTAGAGAGGGGGTTTCACGACATTGGCCAGGCTGGTCTCCAACTCCTGACCTCAGGTGATCTGCCCACCTCGGCCTCCCAAAGTGCTGAGATTACAGGCGTGAGCCACTGTGCCCGTTCTCCTTCTTAATTTCTTCATTGACCCACTGGTCATTCAGGAGCATATTGTTGAATTTCCACGTATCTGTATAGTTTTCAAAATTCCTCGTTATTAATTTCTAGTTTTATTCCATTGTGGTCAGAGAAGATGCTTGATATTATTTCATTTTTGGGGAACGTTTAAGACTTCTTTTGTGACCTAACATATGGTCTGTCCCTGAGACTACTCCATGTGTTGAGTAGAAGAATGTGTAATCTGCAGCCATTGGATGAAATGTTCTGTAAATATCTATTAGGTCCACTTGGTCTACAGTGCAGATTAAATTTGATGTTTGTTGATTTTCTGTCTAGGAGGTCTGTCCAATGCTGAAAATGGAGTGTTTAAGTCCCCAGCTATTTTGTATTGAGGTCTATCTCTCTCTTTAGCTCTAATAAAATTAGCTTTATATATCTGGGTGCTCCAGTGTTAGGTACATACATATTTATAATTGTTATATCCTCTTGCTGAATTGACCTCTTTATCATTATATGATGACCTTCTTTGTCTCTTCTTATAGTTTTTGTCAAGAAAACTATTTTGTCTGATATAAGCATAGCTACTCCTGCTCTTTTTTGGCTTCCATTGGCTTGGAATATCTTTTTCCATCCTTTTATTTTCAGCCTATGTGTATCTTAATAGGTGAAGTGTGTTTCTTTTCTTTCTTTTCTTTCTTTTTTTTTTTTTTTTTTTTAAGACGGAGTCTTGCTCTTGTCGCCCAGGCTGGAGTACAATGGCGCGATTTTGGCTCATTGCAACCTCCGCCTCCTGGGTTCAAGCGATTCTCCTGCCTCAGCCTCTGGAGTAGCTGGGATTACAGGCACCTGCGACAACGCCCAGCTAATTTTTGTATTTTTAGTAGAGACGGGGTTTCACCATGTTGGCCAGGCTGGTCTCAAACTTCTGACCTCAGGTGATCCACCCGCCTCTGCCTCCCAAAGTGCTGGGATTACAGGCAGGAGCCACCACGCACAGCCGGTGAAGTGTGTTTCTTATAGGTGATAGATCACTGGGTCTTGTTTTTTAATCTATTCAGCCACTCTGTGTCTTTTGGTTGGACAGTTTAGTCCATTTGCACTTAATGTTATTATTGATAAGTAGAGACTTTCTCTTACTATTTTGTTATGTGTTTTCTAGTTGTTTTGTGGTCTTCTCTTCCTTCTTTCCTTCCTTCTGTCTTCCTCTTAGTGAAGGTGATTTTCTCTGGTGGTATGATTTAATTTCTTGCTTCTTATAGTTTTCGTGTCTATTGTACGTTTTTCAAGATGAGGCTTGCAAATACTATCTTATAACCCATTATTTTAAACTTAAGACAACTTAAAACTGATTGCATAAACAAAAACACATTAAAAAAAAGAAAACTAATAGAAACTCTACACTTTAACTTTGTCCCCCTGCTTTTTAACGTCTTGTTTCTCTTTGTTTCATTGTACTATGTCTTGAAAAGTTGTCGTTATCATTTTTGGTTGGTTCACCATTTAGACTTTCTACTTGAGTACTCTACATGCCACAATTACAGTTTGTTTTTGCAATCAGTTATAATATTCTCTGATTTTCTATGTGCTTACTATTACCAGCGAGTTTGTACATATATATGTATTTTAATTTTTATATTAGATTTGGGGGTACACGTGAAGGTTTGTTACATAGATAAACACGTCATGAGGGTTTGTTGTAAATATTCATATAGATGATTTCTTATTGCTCATTAACATCTTTGTCTTTCAGGTTGAAGAACTCTGTTTAACATTTATTTTAGGACAAATCTAGCATTGATGAAATCCCTCAGCTTTTGTTTGTCTGGGAAGGTCTTTGTTCTTCATGCTTGAAGGATATTTTCACCAGATATACTATTCTACAATAAATTTTATTTTTTTCCTTTAGCACTTTAAATATGTCACACCACTCTCTCGGCCTGTAAGATTGCCACTGAAAAGTCTGCTGCCAGACATTTGGGAGCTCCATTTTATTTTATTTGTTTCCTTTCTCTTGCTGCTTTTAGGATCCTTTCTTTACCCTTGACTTTTGGGAGTCTGATATATTAAATACCTTGGGGGTAGTCTTTGGGTTAAATCTGCTTGGTGTTCTACAGTCTTTTAGTACTTGAGTGTTGATATCTTTCTCCAGGCTTAGGAAGTTTTCTGGTATCATCCCTTTGAATAAACTTTCCATCCCCATCTTTTTCTCTACGTCCTCTTTAAAGCCAATAATTTAAGAGTTATTGCCCTTTTAAGGCTATTTTCTAGATCTTATAGCCATGCTTCATTCTTTTTTATCCTTATTTCTTTTGTCTTCTCTGACCATGTATTTTCAAATAGCCTTTCTACATGTTCACTATTTATTTTTTCTGCTTGATCAATTCTGCTATTAAGAGACTCTGATGCATTCTTTAGTATTCCAGTTGCATTTTTCAACTCTAGAAGTTTTGCTTCTTTTTAACTATTTCAATTTGTTTGTTAAATTTATCTGATAAAATTCTGAATTTCTTTTCTGTTATCTTGAATTTCTTTGAGTTTTCTAAAAAGAGCTATTTTGAATTCTCTGTCTGAAAGGTCACATATCTCTGTTTCTCCTGGATTGATCCCTGGTGTCTTATTTAGTTCATTTAGTGAGGTCATGTTTTCCTGGATGGTCTTGATGTTTATTGGTGTCTAAGCATTGAAATGTTAGGTATTTATTGTAGTCTTCACAGTCTGGACTTGTTTGTGCCCATCCTCCTTGGGAAGGTTTTTCAGGTATTTGAAAGAACTAGGGTATTGTGGTCTAAGCCATAGCTGCGTGAGGGGGCACCTCAAGCCTAGTAAGGTTGTGGTTCTTGTAGACTTGTAGAGGTACTGCCTTGGTGGTCTTGGATAAAACCCTGAAGAATTCTCTGTATTATGAGGCAGAGACTCTTGTTCTTTACCCTTACTTTTTCCCAAACAAATGAAGTCTCTCTGTGCTGAGCTGCCTAGGGCTGCAGGTAGAGTGACATACTACCCCCCTGGCCCTCACTACTGGGACTGTGCTGGGTCAGACCTGAAGCCAGCACAGCACTAGGTCTTGCCCATGGCTTTCTGTAACCACTACCTGGGTACCACCCATGTTCACTCAAGTCCCTAGGGCTCTACCATTAGCAGGTGGTGAAGCCAGCCAGGTTGGTGTCTTTCCCTTCAGGGCAGTGAGTTCCCCACAGCCCCGGGTGGGTCCAGAGATGGTGTATGGGAGCTAGGGACTGCAGTCAAAAATCCTTGTATGTCTACCTGACGTTTTATTCTACTGTAGCTAAGCTGGCACTTAAACCACAATACAAAGTCCTTCCTGCTCTTCCCTCCCCTTTCCACAGGCAGAGGAGCCTCTCCCTGTGGCAACCACTATCACTGGGCCATGGGTGGTTTTCTACACCACCATTGGTATTCACTTAAAGTTCAAAGGATCTTCAGTCAGCTTGTGGTGAATGCTGCCAGGCTTGGACATACCCTTCAGGGCACTGGGCTTCCCTCTGGCCCAGGGAAGGTCATGAAATGCCATCCAAGAGGTTAGGCCTGGGATTGGGGACTTCACGAGCCCACTTGTTGGTCTAACCCACTCTGACTGAGCTGGTATCTAAAGTGCAAAACTAAGTCCTCTTTACTTTCCCCTCTGCTTTTCTCTAGCAAGAGGAGTCTCTCACCATAGCCACCACAGCTGGCAATGTTCTGGGTCTCACTTGAAGACACGTCTCAGAGTCTCACCCAAGGCCCATGCCATGATGCACTACCTGGGTATTGCGGCTGATTATTTAGTACCCAAAGGCTCTTTATTCACAGGTGATGAATCCTGCCAGGTGTGGATCCTTCCCTTCGAGGCAGCGGTTTACCTTTTGGCCCATGGTGTGTCTAGACGTGTCATCTATGAGTTAGGGTCTAGCATGGGGGCCTCATGACTGCCCAGTGCCATATCCTACTGTGACTGAGCTGGTATGCAAGATGCAAAACAAAGTCTTCTTTGCTCTCCTCTTCATACGCAGAGGAGTCACTTTTGTTGCTTCAAGCTGTGCTGCCTGGGGTTGGGGGAAGGATGGCACAAGCACTCCCTTAGATTCCCTGGCTAGTGTCTCCCCAGGTCATGTACCACCCTAGTCCAGTGGCTCTAAGCCCATCCCAGCCCAGCACTAGAAGTTGCCTAAGAACTGCAATCCCTGTGTCCTAGACAGACTTTCAAGTTTACCTAGAACCCCAGAGCACTTTGGCCTATGGTGGTGAGGCTTGCCAAAAAACTCAAGTTCTGACAATTGGGATGGTCCATTCCCCTCTGGCTAGGTCTGGTCCAAATGTTCCCTTCATGCATGAGTGCTGGCTGAGCCCAGCATGGCTTTGCTCTCCACTGTGACATGGCAGCACTGAGTTCAATAGAAAGACCACTAGCCACTGCACTCTCCCTCCCCCAAGTGCATATACTCTCTGTGTAGCAGGGCTGCTGCTAGGTTATGGGGAAGGGGTGGTGTCTGTGATTCAAGACTGTCTCTCCTACTCTCTTCAATGATTCTTTCAGTGATATGAATATAAAACCAGGTACTCCGATTGCTCTGATTTTTGGTTCTTGTGATGGTATGCAGTTAGTTGTTAAACTTTCCAGTATGCAGATATTTGTTAAAATGTGTTGTTCCTGTCGGGGGTTATCAATGGTACAGGCTTCTATTCCGCCATCTTGCTCTGCTCTCCAAAACACTTCGAATATTAAACACTGAAATAAATGTGAGTTATACATACATTTAAGAAAGATTAATAAAACAAATAAGGTAATTATTTACCCAATTATTCCAGTTCCGGGTTGTAGGTGGCTGGAGCCTATCCAGCGGCTCAGCACTCAAGGGAGGAATCAACCCTGGACAGGATGCCATTCTATTGCAGGGTACACATGTACACACACTCACTCACACTGGGACAATTTAGACACGCCAATTAACCTAACATGCACAACTTTGGGATATGAGAGGAAACCAGAATACCTGGAGAAAACCCATGTAGACACAGGGAGAATGTGCAAACTCAATACAGTGGCCCTACCAGTAATTGATGTTTTTTTCTCATCATTTAATGAAATGATGTTGAACAAAATGACCTTATTCGAGGACCTAGTGTACAATGCTTTTTGTCAGGCATTAATATTCATGCCATCAAAATCAAAAGCACAGGCTCAGCTAAAATTTCTCAAATGCATGGAAACAAGCACCTCAACACTGTTATCTTTTAATTTCAAATGGTTACCTGGGCTCAAAATCTGGGTGTGCAATTTTATCTGCTCTGGGCAGTGCTCAATATCGAGCATTTCTTACAACAATTAGGACTTATTCCCATTCAGATAATGTTGTCCTAGTTAACCCCTTTGTGGTTTTTGGAGATGTAGGTTTATTCTTTAAACTTTTTTTTTTTTTTTTTTTTTTTTTGAGACAGTTTCTTGCTCTGTCCCCCAGGCTGGAGTGCAGTGGCATGATTACAGCTCACTGCAGCTTTGACCTCCTGGGCTTAAGCAATCTTCCCACCCCAGCTGCCTGAGTATCAGGGACCACAGGTGTGTGCCACTGCACCCAGCTAATGCTTTTATTTTCTGTAAAGACAGGATCTCACTATGTGGTCAAGCCTGGTCTTGAACTCCTGGGCTCACACAATTTTCCTGCCTCAGCCTCCCAAAATGTTGGGATTACAGGTGTGAGATGCACCAGAAACCCTTAAACTTCTTAAAAATCCCTTAAGTCCTCTTGGTTTTACAGGAAAGTAGGAGCTTGGATTTTAGTTTGATCATAGGAAACAAGTAGATTGTTATTCATTCAACAAAAAATATTTATGATAAACATTTTTCAGGCTATCCATTTATTTAATAGGTCTTTATTACATATTTACTGCTGTCAAATGTTTTGGGGCCAGAGGTGAATTATGCTAGTTTGGAAACTAGGTGGAATATTATCATTTAAATGGATACCTTTGTATCTCAAAACAAATCCTGTAGTTTATATAATTTGGAATATTGTATGTCTGTTTTCCATGGAAATGATGAAGTTCATTGGTCATGGTACTCTTGGGTCATGGGACTCACACTCACTTTGCTCTTACCTCTTTCTTATTTTCACATGCATCCCATCGACACTCATGTCTAATCCAGAAGACTGGTAGTATATAAGATCCCAAATATTACCACTGGCTCAGAATCTGAGCCAATGAATGGAGAGACTATGTCATACTTGAAATAAACTTCTTTAACAATAAAAATTAAGAGTATAAGTTCTCTCATTTCATCTCAGTTTCATCAAATATTTCATGTTTAAAATGCTAGCAAGTGTGAAAGAGGCTATGGAATTTTGTGAGTGATAAAATATTTGTAGAGTACTTGGGGATCTGGATCTGGGTGCTATTAAAACCAACCAAACACAAGTAGCTCATATGAGTCCTTCAATTTTTATTCTTGCTTCCAACTTTTAATCTTCCAGCACTGCCAAAACATGGAACTAGGCAGATTTATAGCAATTCTGGTAGATGTTTGTTAGGAACTGATTTCGTACAACACTCTTGGCAATAAAACTATAGTTTTCTAAACTTGACATTTAGCATGTCCTTTATCTTATAAGAAGAAAAATACTTCTGTTGTTCTGTTGGAGTAGGTTAGCTTATAAAAATAAAGTGATGCATCTTTATATGTTTTTAACGTGTCCAACTTTGCCAGGCATGGTGGTTCATGCCTCTAATCCCAAGCACATTGGTAGGCCGAGGCAAGAGGATCTCTTGAGCCTAGGAGTTCAAGACTGCAGTGTGCTATGATGGCATCATTGCACTCCAGCCTCAGCGACAGAGACTCTGTCTCTTAAGTTAGTAAGTAAATAAATAAAATGTTCAACTTAAAATAAAATTACAATTTCTTTTCTAGCAGCTAGGTGAAATTTCTTAACTATTAACCTCTGGTACTTTAAACAACATTAAAACAGCCTTTAAAAGAAGACATTAATTAATTGAGGAAAGATTTTAAAATAATTTTTTCCAAGTTTTAATTTTTAAATCCCTAAAGAACCACATATTCTTGTACCATCCAGGTTTATAAAAATGCAGCTATCAAATTTGATATTAAAAACAAGATACCGCACACCCTTTGTGGAATAAAGCACAGTATAAAGAAAATTAGAATGTCATGACCATTCTTCTTCAATCTTTCCCATTTGTAATATTTCCCCCAAGCGGAAAAGCCTGACAAATTTCCCTTTCTTGCACGTGACCACTTTTTGCATCAGATGCATTTAATTTTGTAGGTTAAATATTCAGGACAAAAGGAGAGTAGAAAGAATTTTTAGAGCTTTGATTTCTATGGAAGCAATAAGCTGAAACTTGGAAATAATATGTTTCATTGCCATCAATCCCATTGTAGCTAGCTAACACTCCAGGGATTTCCTTGATTCTCTCTATAATAATCTTATACTTCTATAGTGCTTATAATTTGCAACCTGTGTTCACTTACTTTATGAGATTCTTACAAAAATCTTTTGAAAGAAGGCTAGTGTGTATGTATATGTGGGTGTATGAATATACATATATATGTGTATATGTTTGTCTATACATATACATATGTGTGTGTATGACATATATATGTATATAGTCATCCCTCATTGTCCACAGGGGATCGGTTCCAGAACCCCCTCAGACACCAAAATTTCCAGATGCTTAAGTTTTTTATATAAAATGACTAATTGGTCAATTCTTCTTGGTAAAGTTGATCTTGATCTTACCAGTTTCTTTTTTGGCTTAGTAATAGGAACAATGATTTTCATAATTTAGGGGACCAAAAGTAAAATTTCAGTTTAAGTCATTTTAGGAATAAACCATGGAGCTATAAATCTTTTGGAGGAGTTATAGATTCAGTGTTAATGCTAGAGTATTGCAGTATATTAATACAACAGATAGTTCTGAAAAGTTGCTTTAGAAAAATGTTTCAGCTAAAGTGACCCAATACCAAATTCTGTACAGTTACCCTCTATTTTGTAAATGCATATGTTAATATCAAAGTATTTATATTGTGTAATTTCCTACCTTAGGTGCTTTTGTTTTTAATATAATGCTGTTTCAAGGTCGAATATGTACAGTAATAACTGTTACAAATTGATTACGAGAGATCACAATCATTGTACAAATCACAGGCTATGTCATTGTGTAGACAAAAATCACTGACCATGCATGCCAGAGGTGGATCATAAATAGTAACTCCTAAGACTAGAAATCTACTTGATATTTTTATGGGTTCATCTTTAAAAGTGACCTCGCTGAATAAAAGTTCAATATTTCTTAAAAGAAAGGTAAATCTAAAAACCGTCCAGAATTTTCGATCCTAGTCTAGTACCACTTACTTGGGAACAAATATAGAAGCACAGGCAACCCCGTCCGTTAATTTGGCTCCGTCATTGTGCAGACAAAAATCACTGACCATGCATGCCAGAGGTGGATCATAGTTAACTCGTTAAGACTAGAAATCTACTTGATAGTGATTTTTATGGGTTCATCTTTAAAAGTGACCTCGCTGAATAAAAGTTCAATATTTCTTAAAAGAAAGGTAAATCTAGAAAGCTGTCCAGAATTTTCAATCCTAGTCTAGTACCACTTACTTGGGAACAAATATAGAAACACAGGCAACCCCGTCCGTTAATTCTGATGTTGAACGTGTGGTTAGAGAGCACACTGCGATATGTTACAGGACCTGAGATAAAAAGCAAATTTGTAAAGTGTCTAAGTGTTGATGGAGAAAAACACATCTAGCATATACGGAAATTTTCTTTTGAGTTCTCTGTAGGATGATCACCAACTCAGTAGGTGAAGCCCTGCCCTCTAGTGGTTATGGGTGTGAGAGGACTTCTGTTCAACATTATATGTCTGGCTCACCACGGTTTATTAAAACCAATCGTTCATTAAAAAGCACTTATTAGGGGTCTGGGTAAGATGCCGAGCAAGTGAAATGTTTACGTGTGAAAAGGCATTGACACTGGACAAAGGTACAGCTGCTAAAAGAAGTGCTCGTTCATTGGCTTCGACAGCTGTACGACTGGTTTCTAATTGCTGTTCCAGCCTCTCCCCAGTTCCATATACCACAAACGAATGAAAAAGATTAGCTCTCCCTGGAGCTCTCTGAGGCTGAACCTTGCTCTCTCATTACACATGGTAACTAAGCACACCCCTTAAAGAATTTTGGGAAGTCGCCCCGCGATTACCGGCTCCCCCAAGAACCAAGCAGTCAGTGCAGGGTTTTGCAAGTGAGAGTGCGAGACTCGGGAGGCTGCTCACGGTGCTCCAGTCCCTGGCAGGAGCATGGACACCTCGCCCCTTCCTTCCGTGGGCCTCAACGTTGCCTGCTGAGATTGTGACTGCCACCCCGACGGGAGCAGCTTCCCCTACAGACTTTGTAGAGAGCGCTTAAACGCCTCGGGGACAGCGGCCATGACTCTCAGCTTGGGCCGACCCCGCGGCCGCCCCACGGGAATGCGTGGCCGACACGGGGCGTGGGCGAATCTCCGACCCTCGCGTTCAGGGGGTGCATATAAACGGGCGGACACCGTCCCTGGGGTAAGGGAGGCGCCAGCAAGAACAAGGCGGGCCACCAACCCCGAGCGACCTCCTACCGGACGGATCCAAACCCAAACATTGTCCATTCCGGGCCGAAGTCTCGGCCTTCACTTCACTTCCGCCTTCCCAGCCCGTGAACACGAATGCGCCTGCGCGCACCTCTCTCAGCGGAAGTAATAGTGACAAAGCTGGGTTCGCGGCTGGCCCAGGAGTGCGGGGCGCGACTGGGCGGCCGGCGGCGGGGAGGGGCGGAGCGCAGGAGTCGGAGGCGGGAGCAGACCAGCACGGCCTCGCGGAGCCGGCCCGGCGGACCGTGACGGGTCCCCTCACCTCCTCTTCTCTCCCCTCCCCGCCCGCCCTCTCTCCCTCCCTTCCTCCCTCCCGCTCGCTTCTTCTCACGCCGGGAGCAGGCTCCCGCCTCGCACCGCTGCCCCGCGAGCAGCTCCTCTTCTCCCGAGGCGCGCGGGGCGCCCCCGCGAGCCCCGCGGCTGAGACCCCGCAGCCTGGAGGAGGGCTGTCCGGGGCTTTGGGTGGGTACCAGTATTACCTCCTGCCCCCATTTCTAGAAACTTCCAGGTTCTGAAGGAAGGGGAGGTTCGGGTATCCCCTGGATGGGGGGGCATCTCTAGGGCGCCGCCCCGCTGGCGTGAGCTGGGGACGTTGCGGGCACACGACGGGGCGGGTGCGGGATCTTGGGGAGGGGGGCTCCCGAGATAGTGGCTGGGCGGGGAACTCCTTCCTCAGCCTCTCGTCAGCGCCGCTTCTCCTGGTTTCTCTTGCAGATGCTGCTGCTAGGGGTGGTGGGAGCAGCCGTGGGACGCGTGGCCGGGAGCGGGGGTGACAGCCTGGGATTCCGGGGGCTTCTCTTCCTTGTCCTCCTCCTCTCCTCTCTATTCCCAGTGTGGCCGTGGCTGACACTAAAGACTTTGTAGCCATCAACCCGAGTGCAGTTTCGATGGAAAATGAAGGTAAAGGCCCCTGGCCGACCGGTTGCAACGCGGAGTTGAGGGTGTGGTGGTTTGCTTTTAAGTTGTCTTTGTTTTTCCACCTTTTTATTTTCGTGAGCTTATTTATTTACTGTGTATGTGAAGTGTCCAAGGATTTGCTTACTTAGGGTATCCAGCTTTTATTTTGGTAACATGGGGCATTTGAGAGATTGAGGTTCTGTGGGTGACTGAGCTTGATTCAGCTTTCTTGAGGAATTCCTGCTCTCTTCAGCTTAGGGAATGAGAGGGAAGTTTTCATTTCAGATAGCGTCTGTGCATGTTTAAATAGCTATTTGAAAGGAATTACTCGAGGGGAAGTGGAAATGGGGGACAAGGGGATGGGGCTGCATCTCTGTATATTGGCGTTTCAAGCCTCGATGTGGTGTGTGGCAGGATTCATTTATAAGAAAGCAAGCCATGTTTTATTATGTCTAGCATTGGGGAAAAAACTCATTATTTTTCAATTCACAAAAAAAACCCAGTGAATTTAATGAAATGTTATGAGATGAGTGCTTTTCTTAAAGTTCCACCCTATTTCAAAACATCATTTAGGAGGCTGACAGCGGAACCTGTTTGTTCACTGTACACTTTGGACACATTAGATCGTCATTCACATGTTACATGATCCCTTTGGCCTCGTTAAAATATTTAATGCTTTTCCTACACAGCACTGATTATTTTTAAAATTGTTGAACAACTGTGAATAAGTGATTTTTTTTCCCCCTCCTGAAACAACACTTATTCTTTGGACTGACTTCTGACTTGTGCGTGATCATTTTTTTTTCTTCTGCCTTTAACCGGGCTGCAAAATACTATAAAAGATACTTAACAAATGACAGTTTTTTCCTCTGGTATAATTTGTTTTAAAAAATATGTGTCTGGTATAAAGGAGCTGCAGTCTTGCTGGCTGCTTCTAATTTGTTTTTCCATTGTTGAGAATGTAAGCTTGATTGTCTGACTAGGACTAGTAATTTTGAAATGGGTGTTTCTTATAGATGCAGTAATGTGTTTTGCTCTCTGAGACCTCTGGGCTATGTAGGGAATATGATGAGAGGCATGATTATATTGACAAATTTTACTCTGGATGGATAATTGGCGGAAGACATTTTCTGAAATACTAAAGTGTATAACTGCAGAGGAGTTATACTGTCTAATTGGGTCTTGAGAAACATTTGAAAGCAGTGATGTTTTTGGTGATAAGGAAAGTCACTTTTCTGAGCCTTTTTCCTCTCTTTTAAGTTTATTGATTTAAGAAAGGCAAATCCATTCTGCACATGAGACAAAGAATGTTAAATGCATTCATATACTTGTTTCTTGGTAGAAACATCTTAAATAACTTCTAACATTTAATGTATGTTTATGAGCTTGTTTTCAGAATGGTACCAGATTTAAGAGGGTAGCCTAAAGTAGGTGGATTCTTTCATGTTGCTTTTGTTTCTTGATCTCTCAGGAGGAAGAGCATGAGTAATAAAGCCGATTCTCATTATCTACTGAGGTGGGAGGGGGTGGTTGTGAGATAGGAGAATGGTGCCTACTTGTGTCTGTCTCTGTATTTTGTGGCCAAATATGAATTTTGTGGTTTCATAGTAAAAGATTATACAGTTCTTAAAAACGTGTGGGGTTTTCTGTCCCGTTATTCTTGACCATCAAGAGACCATTTTTGTCAGTTTCTCCCTATCGTCACATTTTTTTTTATATATAAACAGTTTGAAGAAGAGCCTGTATATAGCCTAGAAATTTTCAAAAGTGACTGACCATATTAAACTACATAGATTGATACCTGTGCCTTTTTATTGTTCACTTGCCTTTTTGTAGTTTTCATCCTTCTTTGATATAGTGTAGTATTAACAATTTGGAGGTGTGAAACAAAAATGGATTCAAGTCTTGACTAACTTGTCTTGAACCACTTAAAGCTGTGTGATTTTAAGTAAATTACGTCACCTTTCTGAGCCTGTATTTCTTCATCTATAAATTGGGATTGATAATCTTTAACTCACAGAATTGAGAGGATTAAATGAGAAACCCTGTATAAATTCTCTTGTGAGGTAGGAATGATAACGTTTAAGAGCTTGAGTTGTGGTGGAACCATGCAGACTGATTTGAATGCTGGATTCGTCGCTTACCATTTGGCTTTGTGCATATTAAAGTTTTCTGTGCTTCCGTTTCTTCATAAAATAAAGATAATGATAGAACCTACCTTATGAGGTTGTTGTAAACATTCAAACAGTATCTGGCACATAGTAAGTGCTCGGTAAATGTTAATTATAAATTGCCTAGCTGAATGTTTGATACATACTAATAGGCCACCTGGCATTAATATTGTCATGACAGTTAAATGTTGGAAGGGGGAACAGTAGTAGCCAAATGCTCAAAATGAAGTTGTCATTGTTAGTTGAGGGATAAGTGGAGTTAGGTAAGGAATTTTCTATGGCATTAGTGCTTTTAAGCCTACAGAAAAAGTTAGGGCTCTACCAAGAAGCCAGGGTCCAGTACAGAAAGAGACAGGTTTGGATTTGAAGCCCGACAAGTAATGTTTTCCTCTCCTGAAAAATCTGACAAGTTACTAGGCTTCTAAGCTTTCTCAGCCTCTAAGTTATCTCATCTGTAAATGAGATAATGCCCTCTTGCAAAGTTGATGTGAGTAATAAATGAAGCCGCCAGAGCAATGTTTGACATACAGTTAACTTGGATGAATTGAGTGATGCTGCTGTTCCCTAGTAAGAGTATCCTCCAGTAGGTATGCAGGTAGTTACATTTGTGGGTGTGAACAGTGTAGAATTGATAGTGTTTCCCTAGAGCATCAGCATGAAGGTTTCTTAGGTAGCTTACAGTGGTGTGGGGAGGAAATGGTTTCATCCATGTGTTGGTTCCTTCAGCAATGGTGGTATTTTCTTTGGCACTTCGGTTTAGATTCTTCTGGACTTTTTTCCTAGGGCCCATTTAAACTTTCTCAGCAAAGCTTGACCAATTTTTAGCTGTAGACTCCAGGATGTTTCATGAACACTTTCTGCTTGTCACTAGGAACGTTTAAAATGTTAATTTCCTGGAATTTTTGGACTACTTAACATTCAGTCGTGAGTTAGGATTTTATCCAGATCCTTTGGAATTTGTTTTTACATGTTTATCACAAATCTAAACAGATCCCGCTTAGGCATCTTGAGATGCACAAGTAAACAGCTCTTACCTGATTTTTAAAAGTTAATTGCATGTTTAAAGTGATAGCTTACTAGAAAAGATATGTCTAGCTGGAGAAGCTTGCACATAGGTTTTCCTTTCTAGTAATGGATTTATTTTTTGGAATAAATTTGGCCTTTCCCATAGAAAATTCAGTGTGACTTTAATACACATGAAACTTTAATATAGCCTTAAATGTTTGACTAGTGGATAGAAATGTAATAGTCTTCAGGATTTCAGGACATGGTTAATTTAAGATTATAGACAGAGCTAATAGGTGTAGAGAACAATGCCCCAATCTTTTTTGTTTGAAAATGGTTGTATTTACACTTTACTTTTAAAAGCAGTTTCTTAATTCAATTTCAAATTGTTAATCAGCTAGGAATGTCTCAAGAAAAAATTGCATTACTATAGTTGGAGAAGCTATAGGGAAAAAGGGATGAGAAGCCACCTTAATTTTATTCCTTTAACTGAAAATAGGAAACCAGGTTATAAAAATATATCTTTGGGTGTGGGAAATATAGTTTATGTTGTTTGCAGTTTTGTCCATAAAATGATAGTCTTAATTAGTACTCTGAAAAAGAGTTGAAACTAAAAGAGATTATATATATGACATTTTGTAAACTGTAGTAATTTAAGCCAGAGGATGCTGTAGAGAGTACTTGTATGCAATAACCTTCTGACAGTTGGATTCCAAATACTTGATTTGTCTTCATATTTTTGTCATTCATTTAAAGTCAGCAGAATTCAGGTCTGTTAACGCAAAGCATTATGAAACAAAATAGTTTCCTAGGGAACACACCCCTAGGGGCCCAGGACTGATTTTGGAGATCTTAGTTAGCCATGATCTGTTTTGCAAGGTTAAATTTTGTTTTAAAGGTGCCAGGAACACTGTGGCTTGATGGTAAAGTTAGCATGAATTTTAAATTACACCGTTGTTACATGTAGCATCTTAAAATATCTTAAGGATCAGTTCAAGAGGTCCCCTCACATTTACTTTGTTGAAACAAATTCTTTTTAATAATGGTTTCAGGCATCAGTTGTGACAAGGTTATCTTTATGCTTTTCATGTAGACAAATGTTGGTAAAAGGCAGTAAAGGGTGCATCCTGAGGTTAATGCCATCATTTCATGAAAGAAAGGATCTCTCAAAAAAAAGGCTAAATTGATAATTTCCTCTTGGATGTATATGACTGCTACTTATATGCATTTGTTAATACAGTTGACCCTTGAACAATGTGGGGGTTGGGGTGCTGACCCACCATGCAGTTGAAAATCTGCATGTAACTTTTAACTCTCTGAAAACTAAACTACTAATAGTCTCTACTGTTGCCTGGAAGCCTCACTGATAACATAAACAGTCAATTAACACATACTTTGTATGCTATATGTATTATATACTGTATTCTTGCAATAAAGTAGAGAAAAAAACTTACCAAGAAAATTATGAGGAGGAGAAAATATATTTATAATTCATTAAGCAGAAGTGGATCACTATAAAGGTCTTCATCCTCATTGTCTTCGCTTTGAGTAGGCTGAAGAAAAGGAGGGGTTGGTCTTGCTGTCTCGGGTGACAGAAGCAAATCTGAGTATAAGTAGACCTTTACAGTTGAAACTCATGTTGTTAAAGAGTCAACTGTGTATCTTCTGTCTTCAGGCTTTAAGTTGCTACGACAAAAGTATAAATCGTAGAATTACAAATAAATTACACCAATTGTGTTAAATTAGGTTGGTTTAGACTAAACCTGTGATGTGTTTAGAAAAAGTTTGAATGAAATGTTGAAAAGCTGTCCTAGATTATAGACAGAAGACAGTAATAGTCGGGGTCAGAAGCATTATCTTAAGATGGCCGTAACTGGGTGTCTGATTCAATTTCTATCTCTGCTTTTTTTAATTCTGCTATAGGTATTAGAGAATGTGTGAATTGGAATTATTTAATATACCTGTTAGTTGTAATTGCTTTCTTAAGTAAAGGCCTTTTGGTTTGACATTTGGTCATTTCGTAAACATGCTGACCTAAACTCGTGTCCCTCCCTCAGAAGGAAATACGTTAATTTAGTATGACATCCTTTTTTTTCCCTTTGTGCTTATTTATTTATTTATTTTTTTGAGATGGAGTCTCACTCTGTAACCCAGGCTGGGCTGGGACACAGTAGCATCATTATAGCTCACCAAAGCCCCTAACTCCTGGACTAATGCGATCTCCCTGCCTTAGCCTCCTGAGTAGCTGGGATTATAAGCACACATCACTATACCCAGCTAATTTCTTAATTTTTTTAAAGACGAGGTCTTGATATATTGCCCATGCTGGTCTTGAACTCCTGGACTCAAGCAGTCTTATTGCCTTGGCCTCCCAAATTGTTGGAATTATAGGCATGAGCCACCGTGCCCAGCTTTAGTATGACATTCTTTATTCTTTTAGAAAGCTTTGAGATATTGATGCATCCTTATAGAAATTACTTTCATTTATTTATTTACTTACTTAAAACAGCTTGATAAAGTTGGAAAAAGCAGGACCCTAAATAATAAATATATTTGCCATCAGCCTTTTATAGGAAAACTCAGAAATAATAAGTGGAAATATTTAGGATGTCACTCATCAGACTTTTTTTTTGAATATGTAAATGTGTTTTTTTGAAAATTTAAACACGCAAAGTAAAAATTAAAAGTTTTGGTTAAGTTGTGAATTTCAGAAATTTATCTTGGTTATGGTGTCCTGAAGTTAAAAAGAATAGAGCATTAGTACATTAGTACATAAACGTTCTGTTATTCTCTGCCTAAGGGCAAGATCCAACTTTGAACCAGGTCCTGGATTTCCTCTCATCTTAAATCGGAGCCTTTTTCATTTGTAGTATAAATAAATTAGCCTTTTGATGCTGTGATTTTATTTGTATATGTTATATATGAGATTTATATCTCTCTTTGTATGCAGGCATTTCACTAGATTTTGTTTGGCCATCTATTTTTAGTGTTTCCCTAGCAGCATGTTTGCTTTACCTGCCTTCATCTAGGTTTCTACATCATCAGGGGTGGAAATATTAGTTGGCTTAATTAAGCTTGGGAGTTGTACCTTACTTGCTCTGTTGAGTGTCAGTTCTACCTTCTTTTGAAGCAGGCAAAAGCAGTTCATGGCACAAATGCCAGAAATAGCATGCAAACCACTTTGTAGTGGTATGCAAACTAATTTCTGCTGTGTCCTTTTCTTAATGCTTGTGAGGGTTACTGTTTACTTAAGAGTTAATATTTGGCTTATGAAACTAGTATCAGATGAGAAATTCCAGCATCCCTCCCCACCCCAGAGAAAGATGTGGTCATTGGGGACTGCTCTGAAGTCTGCCAGCCCTCTATCCTAAAAGTTGGTAGATCAGTTATTATATCTTGATATGTACCCCTAATTCATATGAGGGGCCAAGAGAGATTAGTTACTCCTGATTTCATCTGTTAGAAGATAAAGGGAGTGTGGTTTGTATCTATATTAGAGTAATGGGAATGAAGGGTAGGGATGGATGACAGAGATATTTTACTCCTAGGAAAAATCAGCAGGACTTGGACAGTGACTAGATACAGAGAATTAAGGGAATAGTTGAATCAGACATGACTGCAAGATGTCATTTGGGTCAGTGAAGGTGCCATTGATTGTGGTTGAAGGAGTGAGCCGATTTAGGGGCTGGCTGAAGGGAATATATAGGTCAGACTGTCATGATGTGAGGCTCATATAGCTATGCATGGAGAGAGGTGTTAAATCAAGCACCAGGATTCAAAGTGAGCTCTTGAAGGCAGAGACCTCAATTTGTCCTTTATTCATCTTGAACAGACTCTGGGACGTACCTACTGTCAATTGAATGAAAATGCTGGCTTCTTCCTTCTAAGTGGTTCTCATCTCAGGATTGTTTTGCCCCCGGGGGACATTTGGCAATGTTTAGAGAAATGCTGGGTTGTCACAACTCAAAGTATGCTACTGGCATCCAGTGTGTAGAGACCAGGGATGCTGGTAAGCATGCTACAATCCGTAAGACAGCATCTTCTACCTCCCCCCGCCACCCTCAAAATTTTTTAGCCCCAGATGTCAATGGTGCCAAGATTGAGAAACACTGTTCTAACAAACGGCAAGGAAGTTGACTCCTCTAAGCCTTGGTTTCCTCACTTGTAAAGAGATTATGACTACTTCAGGTTTGTTAGAATTAGACCAGGCAGGGTGTGTACAAGTGCCTGGCATGAAAGAGCCTCTCAGCAAATCCTAATTTCCCTTACCTTACTTGATGAATAGATTTAGGGGAGTTACTTTTGGTCTTTTAACTGCTAATTTCAAGGCTTCACGTTTTTTTTTTTTGTTTTTTTTTTTTTTTTTTTTTTTTTCTGAGAGGTGAGTGGGATGCCTAGGAAACATAGAGTAGCTTTTATAATCTTAATGCTTTTCTCATGGTTTTATCAAATTATGATTTTGATTATACTTTGGTTTGGGTTTGTACTATTTCAGGATTCAGTATTTAGTGTTCACCTAGCAGTAGACAATGAAGTTAAACCCTTAGTGTAGATCAATGAAGTTAAGCCCTTAAATTTTACTTTTTAGCCTGTAAATACATTTTATGTATTATTTATTGCTCACAGAACTGTTATTGTTTGGAAGCAATTTTACTATTCTTTGAAATCAAGACCAAAATGTACTGAATTTTATTTCTCATGGAAAATGCTAGACCTCCTATGTCTATTGCCTTTTTCCTTTTTATCCATTTATTCTAACTAGACCCCCCCCGAAGTCAGAACTCTTCCTTAGATTTCCTTTTTAGGGTCTTCATTAGGTGGCTTTCTTTTGCTTGTCGGGTGTCTTTTTACTTTATTTTGTAAGGTGTTGAATATTCCCTTTATTTTGTAAGGTGTTGAATGTTTCAGTGGTGTTAGGGACAGGACCACCGATATTTTCATCTCTAATACCAATCCCTTAGTGATCTATTCCAGTCATAGCCTCAGTGTTTAAAGTCTCCTTACATGTACATAGTTGTGTGGCATTCTCATTTTTAGGGAGTCACTGGAATTCTTTGCTGCTATTTCTTTCCTTTTAGGAAAAAAACCGGTTTACTCTTACTATACATTATTTTCTCCATCTATAGAATGGAATTACTGTAGGTAAAAGTCCTTGAGTTCGGTAAACTATGTATTGGACTTACTAATGTACGTTTTATTAATTGCAGGTGGAATTTAGAAATAACCTGCCTGTTTTTCATCTTAAACTAAGATTATTTAAATATTCCATTCATTAATTAGTTGGTTAGAAAAATTAGCTTTTGAGGAACACCACTTAAACATGGAAAATAATAACAGAGTACATTTTGTGACAGCAAATAAATTATCGGTTAACTTAACCCTATAGGATTCAAAGTTGGTAGCTTTAAATGATATTAAATTGTATTTGACTGTCAACTGCTTTTAAAGGCTTACGTGGCTCCCCATTGTACCTGTAGTTATTTAGGTCTGGAAGCACAGGGTGTTAAGAATGCCACCATAATGTCTTTTCATAAGGGTTTGGTTTGTCATAGCCTGTAAAATTAGGTTCACCAGTTAGCTGCTTTATGAAATGAATGTCATTGGTCATGGTGGGGGAGGTATTAGGAGAAGGTATAAAGGAATCTAAAAAAACTTTCTTTCTTTCTCTCCCTCCCTCCCTTCTTTCCTTCTGCCCCTTCCTCCCCCCTTTCCTTTCCTTTTTCCTCTTTCCCCTTTCCCATTTCCCCTTTCCCCTTTCCTTTCCTTTCCTTTCCTTTCCTTTCCTTTCCATCTTCTGTATTGCTAGTAAAATAATTGTTGCTCACTGAAGGCTTTAAAAAACACTGGTTGCATGCTTAATATAGGATGGCAACAAAATGGACGGGTTTAAAAAATATGTAGATGGTATGATACCCCTTTCCTCCATCCTTGTACCAAATTTCTTTCAAACCTAGAATAATTTATACAAACAGATGTATCAGTAGATGGAGTATTATGCCCACTTTTTAATTTAATGATCAAAAAATGCCAAATTCTTCCCAGAGTGGCAGTATAATTCAGATGTAGTTAACTGTTGGATGCAAATTCAATTATGGTAGAAAGATTTACTTTACTTTGAGAGGTTTTTCTAAAATCTTCTAAAATTATGTTGATTTTTAAAATTTGAAATAACTTTAGACTTACATAAAAGGTATAAAAATAGTACAAAGAGGTCCTGGATATCTTTTGCCCAGTTACTCCTAATGTTAACATCTTATATAACCATAGTATAATTATTAAAACCAGGACATTCACATTTATAAACTATCCTTTTTCTAGTTCAGGATCCAATTTGGGATCCTACCTTGCATTTAGTTATCATCATGTTAGTCTCCTCCCATCTGTTAAGCTTTTCAGTCTTTTTTTTCTCTCATCTTTTATAAATGTTACTGACACTTTTGAAGAGTACTGTTAGTTATTTTTTAGAATGTTTCTCAATATGGGGTTGTCAGATCTTCACCCGTGATTAGCATGTCTTATGATGGGTGAAGTTAATGTGATCACTTGGTTAAGGCTGTGTCTGCCAGATTTCTTCATTGTAAAGTTACTGCTTTTTCCTTTGTAATAATAAATGTTCATTTTAACCTTGTAGTTGTATAATAATTAGTAATTCCTTTGTAATTAATACCTTCCTCTAGTGGGGAGGTACTGCAAATATACTGTGTCCCATCATACTTATCATGGGCCAGTTTTGCAATATCCTGTGTTCCATCATACTTTACATGGGCAAGTTTTGCTATCTATCAATGGTTCTTAACTGGCAGCAGTTATTACTGCTTTGGTCTTTGCTTAATGGCGAGTTTTCTATTTCACTCATTCTTACTATATTTGGAATTCTACAATTAAGGAAGTACTGTCCTCTTTACTTATTAATTATCCAATTAATTTATTTACATGGCTTTGTGGATATTTTGCCTTATGGGTTAAAATCCAGTAATTGTTGCTCAAGTCATTCTCGCTTTGGTTATTGAGGGCACTTGAAAATTTGTTCCTGTGTCTTTTCTACAATACCCTCTCTCATTTTGTGAGCACTAATTTACTTTCTGGTATCACATGATGTTCTGGGTGTATCTTGTATTTTTCCTGCTTGCACCAGCCATGGAATCAACCATTTTTCCAGGGAGCTGAGTTCATTTTACTAGAGAATGATATCTAGAAACCAAGATCTGGGTGCCAGGTGTGCTCCATGCTACTGGGTGTCATTGCTTCTAGGCTCTCTTAGTAGATAGAGCTAGCAGTGTATATGTTTGGTAACATGTATGAACACATATGTTTTTATTTTCTTATCTATCCATCTATGTATATAAATAAAAAACTGCCAGTGATGCTGCCAGTTCTGTTCTTCCACCATAGGGTCCATTTTGGTCTTTTTTCCTGTTCAGCCCTTTTCTCTTTCTTTGTTACTTCCTTCTCCAAAGGTGAGAAACTGTTCTCAACCACAGTATATTGACTTACTTGTTTCATCCGAGTACACACAAACAAAAGTAGTTTTAGAATTAGTGACCTATTCATTCCCTGGTGAGAAACACAGTTTTAAACTAGAGTACAATATTTGTCTTTAACTTTATGGTATACAGGCAAATTCTGTTTTCAGAAGTTACTTGGGTTCTTTTCATCCCTGCCTAAGGGTTATGTTAGTCACTTGTAATAAAATTAGGTTCACTTGTTATTGTTTGTATGCTGTTTTAAGTTCCTCCTACATCCTGTTTCATCATAGCACAGTATCCCTCTCCCATTTATTTATGATAAAGATGTGTTCTTAAAAGGACTGGATTTGCTTAAGGTTGGGTACAGCTGTAATTGCTTTGCCAGACAGCAGTTAAAGGACATGTGCTTTGGCAATCATTCTCTTGGGCTTGCTTGCCTGGTTCCTTAGTTTCAGCTCTCATTTCTACATCGTTTACACTTGGGAATTGATATCAGCTGTGGCCCCATAACTGTCAGTGCTTGAAATCATGCCCATCGACTAAATCTTATTTGTTCTGTATGCACAGTTTTAGACCCGGAGCCACCTACAGTATGAATACTAATTCTCTCATAGCTGTGGTAAATCATGAAGTATTTTGTAGACCCTGTCCTTTACTGGGTTTTTCTTTTTCAAGATAGAATCACTTACCACAAAATTTGTCATTTTAAAGTGTATAATTCAGTGGTTTTTAGTATAGTCACAAAATTGTATATTGATATAATTCTAGAACATTTTTATCACCCCAGAAAGAAACCCCTTACCCATTAGCAGTCACTTCCCATTCTCCCCTTTCGCTAGCCCCTGGTAACCACTAATCTACTTTGTCTTTATGGATTTGCCTGTTCTGGGTATTTCATATAAATTGAATCATACAATATGTGACCTTTTATGTCTGGCTTCTAGCACGTGTTAGTACTTCATTTCTTTTTGCGATGAAATAATATTCCATTGTATGGATATACACATTTTGTTTATTCATCAGTTTCTACTTTTTGTCAAAAAATAACACTATTGTGAGCATTCATGTATGGGTTTTTGTGTAAACATGTTTTCAGTTTTTTCAGGTGTATACTTAGGAGTAGAAGTGCTGGGTCATGGTAATTCTATCTTTAATTTATTGAGTAACTGCCATAGTGGTTGAACCATTTTTTCATTCCCACTAGCAGTGTATGAGGCTTTCTTTTAATTAATTTCTCCACATCCTCTCCAACATTTTGCTGTTTTTTTTTTTTTTTTCCATTGCATCCTAGGGGGTATGAAGTGGTTTCACATTGTAGTTTTGATTTGCGTTTCCCAAATGACTAATGATGTGTCAAGGATCTTTTGCATGGATTCTTCATGCAAAAGAATGAAGGTGGACTCTTATCTCACAGCATATGCAAAAATCATTTCTGCACTCTGACTTCTAATCTGTTGGTTTATAAGTCTTTGCAGATCCAAGTACCACAATGTTTTGGTTACTGTAGATTTTGCGATAAGTTAGTTTTGCAACTAGGAAGTGTGATGTGCTTATTGGTTATTTGTATATCTTTGGAGAAATGTCTATTCAAATCTTTTGACCATTTTGTAATTTGGTTATTTACTTTTTTGTTGAGTTGTAAGAGTTCTTTATATATATGTGTGTACACACACACACACACACACACATACGTTTATTCTGGATACTGGATAGGAATATATTCTATACTTGTACCAGTATACAAAGATGTTTACCTAAGAGTGTTCACTGCAGCAATGTTTATAAGATAATTATCAGAGATATGGTTTGTAAATATTTCTCCCATTCTGTGGATTACCTGTTCACTTTCTGAATGGTATCCTCTACATCAGAAACTTTTAAAATTGTGATGAAGTCCAATTTATATATGTGTTTCTTTTATTGTTTGTGCTTTATATATCTAGGAAACCATTGCCTGATTCAATGTGATGAAGATTATAAGAATTTTATAGTTTAACTCTCACGCTTGATCCATTTTGAGTTCATTTTTGCATATGATGTGACATAAGGGCCCACCTTCATTCTTTTGCATAGAATATCCAGTTATCCCAATACTGTTTGTTAAAAAGACTATTCTTTTTCCATTGAATGTCTTGGCACCCTTGTCAAAAATCAATTGACCAGAAATTATGGGTTTATTTCTAGACTCTGAATTCTATTCTGTTGGTTTATATGTCTTTGCTGATGTAAGTACCATAATGTTTTGATTACTGTAGGTTTTGTAGTAAGTTAATTTTGAAACTGGAAGTGTGAGACCTTTAACAGTGTCTGCCTTTCTTTTTTTTTTTTTTCAGATTGTTTTGTCTATTCTGGATCCCTTGCATTTCCATATGAATTTTAGAATCAGTTTGTCCATTTCTGTTAAAAAGGCAGTTGGAATTTTCATAAGCATTGCCTTGAATTGTCCTTTACTTTGAGAATATAATATTCTTACTTAGGTACAAACATAAGACTTTTTGAGTACTATGTTTGGGTGTGACCTTATTCTAGGTAACAAGCATTTCACAGAAATAGAAGGCCAAAAGGTACATGAAAAGATGTTCAACCTCAGTCATGAAGAAATGCAAATTAAAAACAAAATTATAATTTTTCACTTGTCAGATTGGCAAAGATTAGAGTGTAGTGATGACTAGTCTTGGCTAGACTGTGGGGAAAATAGAAGCTTCTGAGTTTGAAGTTTTTGACACAGTCCCTTTGGAGATCAGTAGCAGTAGCTATCAGAATAAAAAATATGAACAACCAAAGTTTCACTTTCAGAAATGTATTCTGTACCTGTACTTGCACAAATATACCAAGAAGTTTGTACAGGATGTTTACTGCAGCAACATTTGTAATACCAAAAGACAGGAGTCAGCCTAAATATCATCAAGAGGACTAGTTAAAATTGAAGTACTGCATACAATGAAATGCCCTGTGAGCCACTGAAAAGAATGAGGCAGGTTAGTATGTAAGGTGACATGGAGTCCAAGATGTATTGAATGACAAAATTTGTTATTGTGTGGTTCTATTAGAAATTAAAAAAAAAAAACACCAGAAATACTTGTATACACACCTGTATAGAAAATGGCTGGCAGTATACACAGAAATAGTTAACAGAGATTACTTCTGGGCAGTAGAACTGGAAATCTCATTAAATCCTTTCTCATTACTTGACTTTTTTTAAAACAATGAGCAGGTTTTTGTTTTCTGAAAAATCATTAAGAATGACTCAGTAGTGCAAGTAAAATTAAAATTAATACTACTCTTTAGGAATAAAATATTTGTTTTTTTCTGTCAGTTTGATTGTTTTATATATAATATCTGTTGGTCTCTAGAGCAGTTTGATTGTTTTGTATATAATCCCTGTTGGTATCCAGAGGTAAATGCATTTTATTGTGATTTTTATTGCTGTGTGGAAAATGGATTAGAATTAGTTCTTGGGTACAAATATTTAATAGTATTTGGAACCATATTTTTCATTTCTACATATTGTAAGTATGGGAGAAAAATAAGATTTATCTTTTAAGAGTTGTGATTGTGCTAGTTTTTAATTTATCAAATGAAGAATATTTAAGAATATTTAATTCTTTAAGTACAAAGAATATTTAAGAATACTTAAGAGCATTGAAGCCTGATTATGCCACTGTTCTTTGGGTTCATGCTCTGGAACTTAAGGTTCAGTGAAGAAGGTAACCATTTCATAGTATCTCCCTTAACAAAGGTTACTGATACATTTTCAGAAACCTTAGTACCACAGGCAGTAAGGAGGCAGTGAGATCCCTCTGGATTTTGCCAGACCATTCCTAGAATTTTTAAGGTGAGGGGACCAATTTCCCACCCCATATAGAAATGGCACCAACATCTCTCCTAGAAACTTCCTGGTGATTGGAAACTTTTTATCTGTTGATGCTGGTTCTGTCTTTAGGGAGAATGTCATGTTTCATGTAACATATCTTAAAATATTTGAAGATACCTGTCATATCCTTTATTTAGAAATCTTTATTGAAATCCAATTAATGGTCAGGTACTGCCCTTCATACTTCTCTAGGCCGAATATTCCTAATTCCTTCCACTGATCATCTTAAGACCTCATTTCCAGAAATGTCACCATAGTATGCCATGCTTGGTAGCAGGCTCTAATGATGCCCTAAACTGAATATAGACTTCTCAAGGTATGGTTGGATTGTTGTGAAATAGTCTAGGCTCATTGACTCGCTTGGACTAAAAAGCTATCTTTCTCATAATGCAGTTTAGGATAATGTTTACCTTTTTAGCAACAGGTTTACACTGAGAATGCTTTTACAGCTCTTTAAATGATGTATGAGGTCAACTTAACCCATGTGTTTGTCTGAATTATTATTGTAGAGCCTTAGCATCTGGTATGTTAGTAGTTGGTTTTTCGGTATAGTAGTAGGTTTTATATATATATTTATATTTATATTTATTTATTGTCAATAGAGTTAGGGTCTCACTATGTTGCCCAGGTTGGTCTTGAACTCCTGGGTGCAAGTGATCCTGCTGCCTTGGCCTCTTAAAGTGCTGCGATTACGGGCATGAGCCACGGCACCCAGCTAGTAGTAGGTTTTTACATTTATTTCTCATAAGTATACGTGTATGCTTTTGTAAATGTTGAGGTGGTGGTATATTGCCTCTTCTCGTTGATTCTGCCTGATAATCAGCTTGTTAGAATTTTGTTTTGGTTTGTAGTTCTCCTTGAAGAGGTCCTTCACATCCCTTGTAAGCTGGATTCCTAGGTATTTTATTCTCTTTGAAGCAATTGTGAATGGGAGTTCACTCATGATTTGGCTCTCTGTTTGTCTGTTCTTGGTGTATAAGAATGCTTGTGATTTTTGTACATTGATTTTGTATCCTGAGACTTTGCTGAAGTTGCTTATCAGCTTAAGGAGATTTTGGGCTGAGACAATGGGGTTTTCTAGATATACAATCATGTCGTCTGCAAACAGGGACAATTTGACTTCCTCTTTTCCTAATTGAATACCCTTTATTTCCTTCTCCTGCCTAATTGCCCTGGCCAGAACTTCCAACACTTTGTTGAATAGGAGTGGTGAGAGAGGGCATCCCTGTCTTGTGCCAGTTTTCAAAGGGAATGCTTCCAGTTTTTGCCCATTCAGTATGATATTGGCTGTGAGTTTGTCATAGATAGCTCTTATTATTTTGAAATACGTCCCATCAATACCTAATTTATTGAGAGTTTTTAGCATGAAGCGTTGTTGAATTTTGTCAAAGGCTTTTTCTGCATCTATTGAGATAATCATGTGGTTTTTGTCTTTGGCTCTGTTTATATGCTGGATTACATTTATTGATTTGCGTATATTGAACCAGCCTTGCATCCCAGGGATGAAGCCCACTTGATCATGGTGGATAAGCTTTTTGATGTGCTGCTGGATTCGTTTTGCCAGTATTTTATTGAGGATTTTTGCATCAATGTTCATCAAGGATATTGGTCTAAAATTCTCTTTTTTGGTTGTGTCTCTGCCCGGCTTTGGTATCAGAATGATGCTGGCCTCATAAAATGAGTTAGGGAGGATTCCCTCTTTTTCTATTGATTGGAATAGTTTCAGAAGGAATGGTAGCAGTTCCTCCTTGTACCTCTGATAGAATTTGGCTGTGAATCCATCTGGTCCTGGACTCCTTTTGGTTGGTAAACTATTGATTATTGCCACAATTTCAGCTCCTGTTATTGGTCTATTCAGAGATTCAACTTCTTCCTGGTTTAGTCTTGGGAGCGTGTATGTGTTGAGGAATTTATCCATTTCTTCTAGATTTTCTAGTTTATTTGCGTAGAGGTGTTTGTAGTATTCTCTGATGGTAGTTTGTATTTCTGTGGGATCGGTAGTGATATCCCCTTTATCATTTTTTATTGTGTCTATTTGATTCTTCTCTCTTTTTTTCTTTATTAGTCTTGCTAGTGGTCTATCAATTTTGTTGATCCTTTCAAAAAACCAGCTCCTGGATTCATTGATTTTTTTGAAGGGTTTTTTGTGTCTCTATTTCCTTCAGTTCTGCTCTGATTTTAGTTATTTCTTGCCTTCTGCTAGCTTTTGAATGTGTTTGCTCTTGCTTTTCTAGTTCTTTTAATTGTGATGTTAGGGTGTCAATTTTGGATCTTTCCTGCTTTCTCTTGTGGGCATTTAGTGCTATAAATTGAGGATACAAACAAATGGAAGAACATTCCATGCTCATGGGTAGGAAGAATCAATATTGTGAAAATGGCCATACTGCCCAAGGTAATTTACAGATTCAGTGCCATCCCCATCAAGCTACCGATGACTTTCTTCACAGAATTGGAAAAAACTACTTTAAAGTTCATATGGAACCAAAAAAGAGCCCGCATCGCCAAGTCAATCCTAAGCCAAAAGAACAAAGCTGGAGGCATCACACTACCTGACTTCAAACTATACTACAAGGCTACAGTAACCAAAACAGCATGGTACTGGTACCATAACAGAGATATAGATCAATGGAACAGAACAGAGCCCTCAGAAATAACGCCGCATATCTACAACTATCTGATCTTTGACAAACCTGAGAAAAACAAGCAATGGGGAAAGGATTCCCTATTTAATAAATGGTGCTGGGAAAACTGGCTAGCCATATGTAGAAAGCTGAAACTGGATCCCTTCCTTACACCTTATACAAAAATCAATTCAAGATGGATTAAAGATTTAAACGTTAGACCTAAAACCATAAAAACCCTAGAAGAAAACCTAGGCATTACCATTCAGGACATAGGCATGGGCAAGGACTTCATGTCCAAAACACCAAAAGCAATGGCAACAAAAGACAAAATTGACAAATGGGATCTAATTAAACTAAAGAGCTTCTGCACAGCAAAAGAAACTACCATCAGAGTGAACAGGAAACCTACAAAATGGGAGAAAATTTTCGCAACCTACTCATCTGACAAAGGGCAAATATCCAGAATCTACAATGAACTCAAACCAATTTACAAGAAAAAAACAAACAACCCCATCAAAAAGTGGGCGAAAGACATGAACAGACACTTCTCAAAAGAAGACATTTATGCAGCCAAAAAACACATGAAAAAATGCTCATCATCACTGGCCATCAGAGAAATGCAAATCAAAACCACAATGAGATACCATCTCACACCAGTTAGAATGGCAATCATTAAAAAGTCAGGAAACAACAGGTGCTGGAGAGGATGTGGAGAAATAGGAACACTTTTACACTGTTGGTGGGACTGTAAACTAGTTCAACCATTGTGGAAGTCAGTGTGGCGATTCCTCAGGGATCTAGAACTAGAAATACCATTTGACCCAGCCATCCCATTACTGGGTATATACCCAAATGACTATAAATCATGCTGCTATAAAGACACATGCACATGTATGTTTATTGCGGCATTATTCACAATAGCAAAAACTTGGAACTAACCCAAATGCCCAACAATGATAGACTGGATTAAGAAAATGTGGCACATATACACCATGGAGTACTATGCAGCCATAAAAAATGATGAGTTCATGTCCTTTGTAGGGACATGGATGAAATTGGAAATCATCATTCTCAGTAAACTATCGCAAGAACAAAAAACCAAACACCACATATTCTCACTCATAGGTGGGAATTGAACAATGAGACCACATGGACACAGGAAGGGGAATATCACACTCTGGGGACTGTTGTGGGGTGGGGGGAGGGATAGCATTGGGAGATATACCTAATGCTAGATGACGAGTTAGTGGGTGCAGCACACCAGCATGGCACATGTATACATATGTAACTAACCTGCACAATGTGCACATGTACCCTAAAACTTAAAGTATAATAAAAAATAAATAAATTTAAAAAAAAAAAAGAATTTTGTTTTGGTTATGAGGCAAGGTGGGTATCCCTCTCCAGCCTTGAGTTAATGTCATCTTGGATAAGTATGCTATTCAGTATTTATCTGAGTTGTTGATAAAATATTAACAGAATAGAGCCTCGTGGCATACCTAGTGGTACTGAGTTATTAATACTACTGGCCCACCTGTCAGAAATTATGCAGTTTAGCTGTGTATTTTCATGTGACAGTGTTTATAAAATGTCTTGTTGGCATCAGAAGACTGTACAGCCTTACTGTACTTAAGACATGCTGTTTTTAAATGATTGTTTTCTCCTTTTCCAAAGTTAAAATCTGCTGTATTTATTTAAGATTTTTTTGGTGTGTGTATGGGGGAAGAGGGGAGGTGGAAGGATGAAAAGATTCTTTGCACTAAGTTTGCTTTTGGTTAAAAAGAAGCCTGTATTCTTAGATCTTAAATCTAGTCTCACTATACTAAAATTAGTCCCCTAAACTGGATTTACTTTGAAACTTTTGGATGACCTGACTAATTTAAATATTGTACAATAGTTAAGAAGGAGGACTTTTAGTGTTACACAATGGTTCGGTTCCTGGCCATATCACTTACTAGTTTTGTTAATTTCTTTTTGTGTTGGGCACATTACTTCTTTAATCTTTAATTTCCCTATCTAAAAAAGTAGTAAAAATAATGCCCTCTTCAGATTGTTTTCCGAGGATTAAGTGAAGTATTAGAAATAAAGCACTCAGCATCAAGCACTGGTACTTAGCAGCTTAACGGGCAAACCTGCTCTTTCCCTCCTCCTCCTCCTCCTT
Source organism: Homo sapiens (assembly GCF_000001405.40). Taxonomy (NCBI): domain Eukaryota; kingdom Metazoa; phylum Chordata; class Mammalia; order Primates; family Hominidae; genus Homo; species Homo sapiens. Next base: position 130,914,074 of record NC_000003.12, read on the forward strand.
AGTACTCTTCTTCCTATTATGTTTCCTCCAACTGTTACTGTGATAACATATAAATGACTAAATGTGAAATCAGTAGAGTTTTAGACTTTTTTTTTAACTCAAAGCTTCAAACTAAAAACAGTGTATTTCTTGCAGATCCTTTAAGGATAAATAGTTGATCTTTTAAAATGAAAGTGCCCTGTGAAAGTTTCATAGCTAAACATTTTTGTTCTTTAGTTTAAGGCTTAAGCCATATAGGTTTTTTTGTTTGTTTTTTTTTTGATTTGTTTTAACTAGTCAAGTGCATTTCAGTGAGAAGGGAGAAAGAGTAGAAAGGTGTTGGATCTGTAACTGACTGTGAACAATCAGTTGAGATAACTCAACTGCCTTCAGACCAGCCAAGCCCTATAGTTTTACAAGAAAAAACCCATTCAGGTTAGTAACTCATGTTGAATTACTTTTGGCTACTTTGTGTTCAATAATATCATTCTGGGGTGTCTTTGTCTTTTTTGGGGGGCAAGGAAATGGGGTCTTGGTATTTTGCCTAGCTTGGGCTTGAACTCTTGATCTTCTGCTTTAGCCTCCTAAGTAGAGGGTGTCTTTGATTATATCTTAATAAAAGGATTGGAAGTTGAAGCAAGGAATTAAAAACATAAATGTGAATTACTGATAGATGTTAGGCAAGTAGTTGTGTAGGTGGGACTAACTTGCTTGACTAAGATTTTGATTGCCCATCCCTTTCACGTTCTACCTCCCTACCCCATAACATACCTTGAACATGAAAACATGGGGAACATAGATTTCAATAGAAGAAGCCCAATTATTTGTGAATAAGTATGAGAACCATCTGGATATTCTGCAGTTGTTATAATACAGAGCAAATAGAGCATTAGCACCTACGGGAAAGCAGTTGGATTGTTGAATCTTCTTTGACTTGTTTGTTGCTTTGGATGACAGGAGGGTTCCTTCCTACCTCTTAGTAAAGATTGGGAAAGAAAAGAGTTAATTGTGAACTTACTGGGATTAATTCATTCTGGGTTTTTTTTTTTTCCCCCCCTTGAGACGATGTTTCACTCTGTTGCCCAGGCTGGAGTGCAATGGCGTGATCTTGGCTCACTGCAACCTCCGCCTCCTGGGTTCAAGCGATTCTCTTGTCTCAGCCTCCCAAGTAGCTAGGATTAAAGGCGCCTGCCACTACGTCCAGCTAATTTTTGTATTTGTAGTAGAGACAGGGTTTTACCATGTTGGCCAGGCTGGTCTCGAACTCCTGACCTCAAGTGATCCACCCGCCTCAGACTCCCAAAATGCTGGAATTACAGGTATGAGCTACTGCGCCCGGCCTAATTCATTCTTAATTATAAGAATGTACAGTTTTTGTTTAGGGATATAGTGTTAGTTGAAAAATTAGGGAAAAAGTCTGTTACTTAGCTTAGTTTTTCATTTATCCTTTTATTTAGCAGTTACTGAGTACCAGCTATATGCCAGGCATAGTGAGTGTTGGTTTGTGTGACCTGCAGTTCTTGTAGCTATTGAGTTTATAGTGTAGTTGAGGGAAAAACACGTTTGGATGAGCAGTGATAGTTACGTGGTAGGGGACTGAGTGTGAGTAATCGGTTCAGGGTTGTCGCAAGCCAACACAAAAAAGCTCATAGAAGGAATGAGGCCTAAAAGCTTAGTGTAGGGTATGGAGTGTGCAGGCTGGACCTGGCTTTTGCCTGCAGAAATGTGCTACAAGCATTTCAGACAAAGGGACTCAGTGGTAGACCTCTTCTACATATGCCACTTCAGTAGTGTGGTTTTAGATTTTATATTTAGCCATTTATATTTAGCCTGAGGCGTTCTGAGTCAGTCCAAATCCACTGTCACTAAATAAATGGGTTATGTATCTTAATAACAGAGGATTAGCCATCCTTATATGTGAAGGGCAGCATTACTGGGACATGTAAAGCAAACTTATTTGTGACAACAGAATATTTAAGTATAGTTAATAAATAGGATTCTTATAGTCTCCTATTAGGTAACATTCCTTTTAGAGATCCTCATGGAGTATGAGTATTTAAAGTGAGGTGGAGGCCAGGCACAGTGGCTCACGCCTGTAATCCTAGCACTTTGGGAGGCTGAGGTGGGTGGATTGCCTGAGCTTAGGAGTTTGAGACCAGCCTGGGCAACACGGTGAAACCCTGTCTCTACTCAAAAAAAAAAAAAAACAAAAAATTAGCCAGGCATGGCTGCATGTGCCTGTAATCCCAGCTACTTGGGAGGCTGAGACAGAAGAATTGCTTTAACCTGGGAGGCAGAGGTTGCAGTGAGCAGAGATCGCGCCACTGCACTCCAGCCTGGGCAACAGAACAAGACTCCATCTCAAAAAATAAAAATAAATAAAAAAATAAAGTGAGGTCGAAACTATGATTTTCTTGGAGGACGGGCCCAAAAGGTGATTGATTAGTAGGGTTAAAGATTAAATTTGTGCTTAAATTTATATATATATTTTTTCTTTCTTCTTTTTTTCTTTTCAAAGCCATTATGTATTGCTGCAGTACCAATTTCTTTTGCCTTAGCGGGGAAACAGCTGGTACCATTGCAGGCAGAATTCAAGTTCCCTGATTAATGAAGTGGAGGACTGTTTGAATCTTTAATGTCTTACCTTTATGTGTAACTTGACCCCTCAGTTCTCCTTTTTCTTTTTTTATTCAGCCACTCGACAGCTCAATTTTTCTTTTTCTTTTTTTATTCAGCTCTCAGTTCTCTATCTTTTTATTGTCCAAAAACCATACAAATGGTGTTTTCTTGCCCACTTTTCTTACTCATGTTGAGGATTGGTTTTTCTAAACATAGCTTTTGTAAATCAATGTGTACTGACTGATTTCACTTCCCTGATTATATCCTTAAAGCAGCTAAGGTCATTGGTTACTATAAATGAAGTACACACAAGTCCGTGACTTGTGATGGTTTGACTTAGGATTTTTCAACTTCACGATGGTGTGAAAGCAGTAGACATTCAGTAGAAACTGTACTTCTGTTCTTCACTTTCAGTACAGTATTATTTATTAAATACATGAGATAGTCAACACTTTATAAAATAGGCTTTGTATTAGATTATTTTGCTCAACTGTAGGCTAATGTAAGTGTTGCTGAGTGTGTTTAAAATAGGCTATGCTAAGCTATGATGTTCGCTTCGGTAGGTTAGGTGTATGAAATGCATTTTTGACTTGTTACTTTCAACTTATGATGGATTTGTTGGCATATTATCCCATTGCAGTTGAGGAGAATAGTGGATTCTATGAAGATAAACTTAACTACCAGGTAAAAGACATTTCTTTTTTTTAAAAGCAGATTAATAATATGTGAACGCCTTTGGATTTGTTTTATCTAAGTAAGACTTTAGATTTTGTTGTGTTATAGATGGTTTGCAATTGTGTTTAACACATAACAGCTGGGAATGAGTGCCAGAGTATTATTTCTGAATCTTGCTTACATGGTAGTGTGTGCTAAAAATTAAGATGTAAAACTTTTGCTTTTATTTTACCTCGACATTTAAAAACACTAGTAAAACTTGGGATCAGGTGAAAACTTTTTTGTTTTACTTGCAAAAATATTCTCTTAAAAATATTGTGGTAAAGAGATCTAGCCTCTTAATGAATTTTAAAGTATACATTATTGTTGGCTATAGGTACAATGTTGTACAGCAGCTCTCTAGTGCTTATTCATCTTGACTGACTGAAACTTCATGAGCTTTGATTAGCTACTCTCCATTTCCCCTTCTCCCAGCCTCTGCTAACCATCATTCCACTCTTTGATTTTTATGAATTTGTATTATTTTAGATAGTGGAGTTATGCAGTCATTTGTCTTTTTGTGACTGGCTTATTTCACTTAGCATGGTGTCCTCAAGATTCACCCATGTTGTGCCATTTTGTAGAATTTCTTTTTTTTTTCAAGCTGAAGTTTTATTTAAATTGTAAAAGAAATGGTTCCCAAAAAATGCTGGCGAATAAAGCAAAAGGATAAGATATAGTGCTCCCTTCCTACGAGTTAGCCAGCCTATCCGAGTACAGGGTAATATATAGTACTTAATGCTGGTAGAATTTTGCAGTAGTTTAGAAAGATTATCTGTGCCTAGATTATGAAGAGATTCTCAGTGTGTGATGCTTGGTTCTGGGTTTACACCTTACTGGGCATGAACAAGAGCCCTCTCCTTGGCCATAGCCAAATCCCTTGGGCCCAAAGTTCTTTGCATAGCACCCTTTACAATAGATTTCACCTTCTTTTTCAGTCAGGAGTTGTTGATTCAAGACTCTTCCCACACTTTGCACATCGGAAATAGTTTTTGTTCCAGGGCTTTCCAGCTCCAGTTACCTTCTCAGCAGCATGTACGGAATCCCCACATCTGGAACACTTCTCAGCACCTCTGTATTTCTGAGCAAATTTAGAAGTCTTTGGATTTGCTTGTAGGCATGTGAGGCTGAACACTCTGGCTTGATGCCCAGGCTCTCACCACGGTCCATGTTAAGTATGCCAGCGCCCTGGCCATAAACTGTAGCCTTTTGGCCCATACTTCTTTCCATAGCAGGATTTGCAGTAAATCTCTTAATCATGAATTGCCACTGTCTTGCTATCTAAATTATTCCTGCAAATCATGCATAGAAAGCAGCAGCAGTGGGCCGGGCGCGGTGGCTCACGCCTGTAATCCCAGCACTTTGGGAGGCCGAGGCGGGCGGATCATGAGGTCAGGAGATCGAGACCATCCTGGCTAACATGGTGAAACCCGGTCTCTACTAAAAATACAAAAAAATTAGCCAGGCATGGTGGCGGGTGCCTGTAGTCCCAGCTACTCGGGAGGCTGAGGCAGGAGAATGGCGTGAACCCGGGAGGCGGAGCTTACCGTGAGCCTAGATCGCGCCACTGCACTCCAGCCTGGGCAACAGAGCAAGACTCCGTCTTAAACAAACAAACAAACAAACAAAAAGCAGTAGCGGTGGAAGCTCCTGCCATTACACTGCACCTCTTCTGCGTGGTGCACGGCCCTCCCGCAGACCCCACACTTGTTTCCACCTCTCCACGCAGGCATTTTGAGTTGGAGGCAGGAGCACGCATCACAGGCGGAGCTAGAGAGGCTGGGCTGGAGGGAGTGTCCAGGGAGTCCGAGATCGCTAGAATTTTAGAATTTCTTTCTTTCTTTCTTTTTTTTTTATTGAGAGAGTTTTGCTCTTTTCGCCGAGGCTAGAGTGCAATGGCGCGATCTCAGCTTACTACAACCTCTGCCTCCCAGGTTCAAGCGATTCTCCTGCCTCAGCCTCCCGAGTAGTTGGGATTATAGACGCCCACTACCACACCCAGCTAATTTTTATAGTAGAGAAGGGGTTTTACCATGTTAACCAGGCTGTTGTCGAACTCCTTACTGCAGGTGATCCGCCTGCCTCAGCCTCCCAAAGTGCTAGGATTACAGGCATGAGCTACCACGCCCGGCCTAGAGTTTCTTTTTTAAGGCTACATAGTATTCCATTGTACATATATTCCACATTTTAAAAATCCTTTCATCTGTTGGTGGACATTAGGTTTCTGCAGCTATCACTATCACATTGTGAATAGTGTTGTGGTGAACATCGGAGTGGTAATATCCGTTTGAGATCCTGATTTCATTCTTTTGGATAAATACCCCAAAGTGGGACTTCTGGAATATATGGTAGTTCTGTTTTTAAATTTTTGAGGAAGCTTCATACTTTTTTCCATAGTGGCTGCACCATTTTGCATTCCCACCAACAGGATTCCAATTTCTTCACATCCTCACCAACAGTAGTTGTGTTTTGTTTTGTTTTGGTTTTTTGATAATAGTTTTCCTTACAGGTGTGAGGTAATATTGTGTTGTGGTTTTGATTTTCATTTCCCTAATGGTTAATGATGAGCATCTTTTCATGTGCTTACTGCCCATTTGTATATGTTTGGAGAAATGTCTGTTGATGTCCTTAGCACATTTTTAAGTTGAGTTATTTGTGTTTTTTTACTGTTGAATTATTGGAGTTCTTTATATATTTGGAGACTAGCCCCTTGTCAGATGTTTGCAAATATTTTCTCTCATTCCGTAGGTTGCCTTTTACTCTGTTAATTGTTTCTTTTGCTGCGTAGAAGCTTTTTAGTTTGATGTAGTCCCACTTGTTTATTTTTGTTTTGGTTGCTTATGCTTTTGGTATTAAATCCTTGAGATAATCGCCGACACCAGTGTCATGAAGCTTTTCCTGTATGTTTTCTTCTAAGAGTTTTAGTTTCATGTCTTAGGTTTATTAAATCATTTTCAGTTGATTTTTGTGTATGGTGTAAGAAAAGGGCCCAGTTTATTTTTTTTAGGTTTTTACATGTAGATATGAAGTTTTCCTGATGCCATTCCTTTCCTCATTGTATATTCTTGGCATCTTTGTTGAAGATCAGTTGACCATATGTGTGTGGACTTATTTCTAGGCTTTCTTTCTGTGTTCTTGTGGCTCTATATGTCCGTCTTTATGCCAATACCATACTGTTTAGATTATGGTAGCTTTGTAATATTAATATATTTTGAAATCAGGAAGTATGATGCCTCCAGCTTTGTTCTTTTACAAGATTGATTTGGCTATTTATGGTCTTTTGTGGTTCCATATGAATTTTAGAATCGTTTTTCCATTTCTATAAAAAATACCACTGGAATTTTGATAGTGATTGCGTAGAATTTATAGATCACTTTGAGTAATATTGGCATTTAAAAATACTAAGTCTTAACAAAACGTGAGCATAGGTGTTTCTGTTTTTTTGTGTGTCTTGTTTAATTTCATTCATTGTTTTCTGGTTTTCAATAAACAAACCTGTCACCTCATTCAAGTTTATTCCTAGGTAGTTAATTTTTTTCTATTGTAAATGAGATTGTTTTCCTAATGTCCTTTTCAGATAGTTAGTGTATGGAAACATTACTGATTTTTATATGTTGATTTTGTATCCTGCTACTTTACTCAATTTGTTTATTCTAACAGTTTTTTAAAAATGGAATCTTGCGAGTTTTCTTTCTTTTTTTTTTTTTTTTTTTTGAGACGGAGTCTCGCACAGTTTCCCAGGCTGGAGTGCAGGGGCACAGTCTTGGGTCAGTGCAACCTCCGCCTCCCAGGTTCAAGTGATTCTCCTGCCTCAGCCTCCGAAGTAGCTGGGATTATAGGTGCCTGCCACCACACCTGACTAACTTTTGTATTTTTAGTAGAGATGGGGTTTCACCATGTTGGCTAGGCTGGTCTCAAGCTCCTGACCTCAAGTGATCCGCCCACCTCGGCTTCCCAAAGTGCTGGGATTATAGGCATGGGCCACTGTGCCTGGCCCAAAAGGGACAATTTTACTACTTCCTTTCTGATTTGGATGTATTTTTTTTATTTTATTAAGCATTTAATTTATTGCTTAATTGCTTTGGCTAGGATTTCCAGTACTATGTTGAACTGAAGTAGGGAGAGTGGGCATCCTTGCTTTGTTCCTGATCTTTCAGGAAAAGTTTCTGTTTTTTGCTATTGAATATAATGTTGGCTGTGGGCTTTTCATATACAGTCTTTATTATGTTACTTTCTTTTTATTCCTTGTTTGTAGAGAGTTTTTATAATGAAAGGGCGTTGATTTTTGTCAGATGCTTTTTCTGCATCTATTGAGATGATCATGTGATTTTTATCTTTGATTCTGTTAATGTGGTATATTAATACATTTTTTATATGTTGAATCATCCTTGCATCACAAGGGTCAGTAGATTTCCCTGGTATGAAACCCACTTGATCATGGTGTATTACCTTTTTGATAGGCTGTTAGATTCAGTTAGCTAGTATTTTGTTGGGAAGTTTTGCATCTATATTTATTAAGGATATTGGTCTGTAATTTTCTTTTTTTGTTATATTCTTCCCTTGTTTTGGTGTTAGGGTGATACTGGCTTCATAGAATGATTTACGGAGGATTCCCTCTTTATCTTTAGGAATAGTTTCAGTAACGGTAGTACCAAATTTCTTTGAATGTCTGAAATAATTCAGCTGTAGATCCATCTGGTACTGGACTTTTTTTTTGTTGGCAATTTTTTCATTCCTGTTTCAGTCTCACCACTTGTTATTGGTCTGTTCAGAGTTTCTGTATCTTCCTGATTTAATCTAGGAGAGTTTTATATTTCTAGGAAATTAACCATCTCCTCTGGATTTTCTAGTTTGTGCATGTAAAAGTGTTCATAGTAGCCTTGAATGATCTTTTCTATTTCTGTGTTATCAGTTGTAATATCTCCTGTTTCATTTCTAATTGAGCTTATTTGGATCTTGTCTCTTCTTTTCTTGGCTAATGTTGCTAATGGTCTATTGATTTTGTTTATTTTTTTTTAAAGAACCAGCTTTTTGTTTCATTTATTTTTTGTAATTTTTTGTTTCAATTTCATTTAGTTCTGCTCTGATCTTTGTTACTTATTTTCTTCTGCTGGGCTTAGGTTTGGTTTGTTCTTGTTCTCTAGTTCCTTGAGGTGTGACCTTAGATTGTCTGTGCTCTTTCAGACTTTTTGATGTAGGCATTTAATGCTGTGACCTTTCCTCTTAGCACTGCTTTTGCTCTGTCTCAGAGGTTTTGATAAGTTGTGTCACTGTTACCCCTCAGTTCATAGAATTTTAAAATTTCCATTTTGGTTTCATTATTGACTTGAAGTCGTCATTCAAGAGAAGATTATTTAATTTCTATGTATTTATGTAGTTTTGAGGGTTCCTCTTGGAGTTAATCTCCAGTTTTATTCCACTGTGGTCAGAGAGGATACTTCATATAATTTCAGTTTTCATAAATTTATTGAGTCTTGTTTAATGGCGTATCATATGGCCTGTCTTGGAGAATGTTCCATCTGCTGGTGAAAAGAATGTATATTCTGCAATTGTTGGGTAGAATGTTCTGTAAATATCTGTTAAGTCTATTTGTTGTAGGGTATAGTCTTAAGTCCATTGTTTCTTTCTTGACTTTCTGTCTTGGTGACCTGTCTAGTGTTGTCAGTGGATTATTGAAGTTCCCTCACTATTATTGTGTTGCCGTCTGTCTCATTTCTTAGGCATAGTAGTAATTGTTTTATAAATTTGGGAGCTTCAATGTTAGGTGCATATATATTTAGGATTGCCACATTTTCCTGTTGTACTAGTCCTTTTATCGTTATATAATATCCCTCTTTGTCTTTCTTTTTTTTTTTGTTGGAGACAGAGTCTTGCTCTGTTACCCAGGCTGGAGTGTAGTGGTGCGACCTTGGCACACTGCAACCTCTGCCTCCCAGGTTCAAGCAATTCTCCTGCCTCAGCCTCCCGAGTAGCTGGGATTACAGGCACACACCACCATGCCTGGCTAATTTTTTGTATTTTTAGTAGAAACGAGTTTTCACCATGCTGGTCTCGAACTCCTGCCCTTATGATCCACCTGTGTCAGCCTTCCAAAGTGCTGGGGTTACAGGCGTGAGCCACCACACCTGGCCTCCTTTGTCCTTTTTTAACTGTTGTTGCTTTGAAGTCTAGTTTGTCTGATATAAGAATAACTACTTCTAGGCCGGAAGTGGTGGCTCACACCTGTAATCCTAGCACTTTGGGAGGCATAGGTGGGTGGATTGCTTGAGGTCAGGAGTTCAAGACTAGCCTTGCAAACATGGTGAAACCATGTCTCTACTAAAATACAAAAATTAGCCAGGTGTGGTGGCTCACGCCTGTAATCCCAGCTACTTGGGAGGCTGAGGTGGGAGAATAGCTGAACCCAGGAGGTGAAGGTTGTAGGGAGTCTAGATTGCATACTGCTCTCTAACCTGGGTGATGAAGTGAGACTCTGTCTCAAAAAAAAAAAAAAAAAAAGGATAACTACCTTTGCTTGCTTTTGGTTTCCATTTTCATGGAATATCTTTTTCCATCCCTTTATCTTATGTGAGTCCTTCTGTGTTAGGTGAGTCTCTTGATGACAGCAGATCCTTGGTTCGTGGATTTTTATCCATTCTTCCATTCTGTATCTTTTAAGTGGAGTATTTAGGCCATTTATATTCAACGTGAGTATTTAGATGTGAGGTACTGTTGTTTTCATCATGCTAGTTGTTGCCTTAATCCCTTAGTTTTTTGTTTTTGTTTTTTTTTTTCATTGCATCATTGTTATATAGGCCCTGTGAGATATATGCTTTAAGGAAGTTCCATTTTGGTGTATTTTGAGGTTTTGTTTCAAGATTTAGAACTTGTGGTGCTGGTTTGGTAGTGGCAAATTCTCCCAGCATTTGTTTGTCTGATAAAGACTTTATCTCTCCTTCATTTATGAAGCTTAGTTTTGCTGGATACAAAATTCTTGGCTGATAATTGTTTTGTTGAAGGAGGCTAAATATAGGACCCCAGTCCCTTCTAGCTTGTAGGGTTTCTGCTGAAAGATACACTGTTAATCTGATAGGTTTTTCTTTATAGGTTACCTGATACTTTTGCCCCACAGCTCTTAAGATTCTTTCCTTCATCTTGACTTTAGGTAATGATGACTATGTGCCTGGGCCATCTTTTTATGATGAATTTCCCAGGTATTTTTGAGCCTCTTGAGATTTGGATGTCTAGATCTCTAGCAAGACCGGGGAAGTTTTCCTTGATTATTTCCTGAAATATGTTTTCCAAACTTTCAAATTTCTTTTCTTCCTCAGGAACACGAATTATTTTTAGCTTTGGATGTTTAACGTAGACCCAGCCTTCACGGATGCTTTGTTTATTTTTTTTAAAATAATTTTTCTTTATCTTGGCAGATTGGGTTAATTCGAAAGCATTGTCTTCTGTCTCTGAAGTTCTTTCTTCTGCTTGTTCGATTCTATTGCTGAGACTTCCCAGTGCGTTTGGCATTTCTCTAAGTGTGTCCTTGATTTCCAGAAGTTGTGGTTGTTTTTTATTTATGCTATATATTTCACTGAAGAATTTTCCTTTTATATCCTGTATCATGTTTTTGATTTCTTTAAGTTGGACTTCAGCTTTCTCTGGTGCCTCCTTTGATTAGCTTAATAATTGACCTTCTAAATTCTTTTTCTGGCAATTCAGAGAGTTCGTCTTTGTTCGGATCCATTGCTGATGAGCTGGTACGATCTTTTGGTGGTGTTAAAGAACCTTGTTTTGTCATATTACCAGAATTGTTTTTCTGGTTCCTTCTCATTTGGGTAGACTATGTCAGAGGGAAGATCTGGGATTCAAGGGCTGCTTTTCAGATTCTTTTGTCCCATGGGGTTCTCCCTTGATGTGGTGTTCTCCCCTTTCCCCTAGGAATGGGGCTTCCTGAGTGCCAAACTGTAGTGATTGTTTTTGCTCTTCTGGGTCTAGCCACCCAGTCGAGCTACCAGGTGCCAGGCTAGTACTGGCGAGTGTCTGTAAAGAGTCCTATGATGTGATCCGTTTTCAGGTCTTGCAGCTGTGGATACTAGTACCTGCTCTGGTGGAGGTAGCTGGGGAGTGAAGTAGACTCTGTGAGGGTCCTTGGTTGTGTTTTTGTTTAGTGTGCTGGTTTTGTGTTGGTTGTCCTCCAGCTGGGAGTTGGCACTTTCAAGAGCATATCAGCTGTGGTGCTACAGGGAGGATGCACATTTGCCCTAGAGACACTTGGTCAAGTATTCAGGTTTCTCAGGCAGTGAGCAGGCCCATAGAGCTCCCAAGAGATTATGACCTTTGTCTTTGGCTACCAGGATGGCTAGAGAAAGACTACGAGGTGGGGGCAGGAATAGGGGTGTCTCAGCCTCTCCTTGGGTGAGCTTGCTGCAGCTGCTGTTGCGGGGGGTGGGGTGAGGGTGTGGTTCCCAGTCCAGTGGAGTTATAGTCCCAGGGGGATTGTGGCTGCCTCTGCTGAGTCATACAGGCCACCAGGGAAGTGGGGGAAAGCTGGCAGTCACAGACCTTACCTTGCTTCCATGCAACCTGTGGTCTTAAAGGCTGGTCTCACTTCCATCATGCCTCCCCAACATCACCAAGTCTTTTTCCAGGTAGCCGGTTACCAGGGTGGATACTTTGCCCCAGACCACAAGCCTCCCCCTTGAGAAAGCAAATGGACTCATAGTTTTTAGGCCTCCCAGAGAACCTGCAGTGGTGATCCAATTTCTTCAAAGGGTCTGTGGATTCTCTTGGCTTTCCTGGTTTGTTCCTGTGGTAGTTCTTGTATTGTAGCAAAAGTTCATGATGTGAGTCTCCACATGTTGCTCTGTCTGTCAGAATGGGAGATACAAGCTAGTCCTGCCTCCTATCCACCATCTTAATTTGAGCATCTAGATATAGTTTCGAATAATGTGTATCTACCTACAAAGTTCAGGCATGGAACGAGGCAAATAAAACAAACACAAAAACTGGATAGCAAAACTACTCCAATGAGGAGATAAAGGTTTTCAAAAAGTACTTGAACTGGAAAGCCTAGGTGATACTAAAACATTAAATAAAATAGTATATCCAAGACCCAGTATGTGTTAATATATGGGATAACCAGATCGTTTTAACTGCTCTGGCTAATCCTCATTTCTATAAATATGTAGACAAAACTAGCACTGCTGTATGGTAATAACTACCAGTATACTGCTTTGTCCTTTAAAATGTGTCTGCCATACTAGGCTCAAACTATTAAACCAAGTTTTTCTACTAAGGCTAGGAATGTCACATGTATGCAGGGATGAGAACCTTATCACACACACTCACGCTCACATACCAGGTCTCTCAGCCCTTGGGCGTCGCCTTCCAACTCCATGTGTATTTTATGCATGTGATCTTTATATGTGTTCTTTCGCTGTTTTCCTATCATGTGAAACACATTAAACATCTCAACACATTTGCGCCTGGTTTTGGTTGCCCAGTAGTATTCTTGTGTGCAATGAAACCAGTGAGCAAGTACACATAGTAGGAATTATACCATCTTGGTAGAAAACAGCTATATAAACACGGATGTACATATTTCACTGGAAATCTCAAGGACCCACCTCTTCAGTCTGTAGCAGAAGTCTGCTTGCCACATCAGATCCTTTTACCCTTCACCTCTATTCTTGGACCCCAAAGCAGGGCCAGTGCTTTTAGTTTTGTATCTGGTGTCCTCAAAATGAATATGGAAAGTTCATAAACACTATATAAGTACTATGTGAATCTGGTTGAAAACAGGTAAAACAACAAACCTACATATACTAACTGGTAGTTAAATTTATTTCACAAGAAAACCATCTTTAAGATTTTTTTTTTAACTTTTTTTTTTTTTTTGAGACAGAGTCTCGCTCTGTCGCCCAGGCTGGAGTGCAGTGGCGTGATCTCAGCTCACTGCAAGCTCTGCCTCCCGGGTTCATGCCATTCTCCTGCCTCAGCTTCCTGAGTAGCTGTGACTACCGGCGCCTGCCACCATGCCTGGCTAATTTTTTGTATTTTTTAGTAGAGACGGGGTTTCATTATGTTAGCCAGGATGGTCTCGATCTCCTGACCTTGTGAACCGCCCGCTTCAGCCTCCCAAAGTGCTGGGATTACAGGCGTGAACCACCATGCCCGGCCTTTTTAACTTTTTAAAATAGAGAAAACAGTATATTCCTTGGGGAAAGATGAAGGATTGAGAAAACCAGCTCTGGGTAAAAATTATTATGACTGCACCTGGAGTTGATTAGGCCTGCCTAGGAAAGAAACAGGCAACTGCTATATGACCACAGGGGACAGCCACCATCTGAGTCTCAGCAGACTAGTTCACACGCCATGCAATGTTGCTGTATATTCAAATTGTAAAAATCATCTAGCTTATCATGAAACAAGCTGCATTTATCATCAGAGACTGTCAGGTCATCATCTCCACCTGCAGACAGAGCTTAAGCAGCATCTCACCTATCTCAAAGATGACAGACTCTTGTCACTGTTGTCAAAGGGGTTGCTGTTCTGTTTCCTCAGTGAGCTCCCAGAGTTGGTTCCTTCCTTGGGCCCTGTATCTGTTTATGTTCCCATTTTCTGTCTCTGGCTCCTTTTACCACCATCAGGGTAGGCAGACTTGGAACAATTCTCTCCAAATGGGCAGCTTCCATGTTCTTCGTTAAAATACCTACATGCCTTATCACTCTTCATCTCCTTGTATTCCTGAAATGAGTTTCTGCTACCTTCTACTCCACGCAGTACTCATGTGGAATGACAAAGTTAAATATGGCCTGGCATTCTGGGATGGACTTTACCATCTTGCTTTTCTGTTGCTTAGTACTCCTCCACTTGTGAACACACTTGAGGTGCAGGTGTGGTTGCAGCTGGAGAGCATCTCAAAGCAGCCCTTTATATATTTAGAGAGTATCATGCCCCTTTAGTGTTTTATTGTTTATTATATGAAATAATACCGTTTCCTACTCTGGAGATTTACAGCTACTTTGAGCCCATGGAATACCCCCAAAGGGTTTTATGTAAAGTGTGTTCAAATGTAGACCCTATCTATATACCAACTACCAAAGGATTAGTTGAGAAACATTTTATGAGTAAGGCTGTCATATTGCATGCTGGGTACTAGAGTTAGCAATTTCCAATATATTATTGATAGAAAAGTAAACATTAATAGGAAATTATCATGAACTGACTTTACTCACCTTGTTTAGTCTGTATTGACCTTGTTGGAAGAAAAGTATTAATAGCTGTCATTTGAGCTCTTACTAGTGGTAAGTCAAATGCTGTGTTAGTGTATTTAATCCTCAAACATCTCTGTTTAGCCATATTATCCCCAGGTTATATATATGAAGAAGATGAGGTTTGGGGATCTTAGAAATAAGAGATTTTATTGATCTGTCACTGCAGGCAGTGTAAATATATTTGATTCTTCTTAATTTTGCTTTATGATCTCACAAGATGAAATAACTATGTCATCTATTTCAATTCTCATTGTTTTAAGATTTAAATCATTTTGGGGGGAATCTTCTCCAATGTTTTACTTAGGAACGGTTCAATGAAGTCTTTCCCCTGTCCTAGTTTGTTTTATAGATTTGAAATAAGGGCATTTCAGTGGCTCTAAAACATGTGTGTAGCTTTTGTAAAATTCCTAATCTTTTCTCTAAGTTTTTACATTTCTTAATTATGTAAAAATATTATGCTATAAAATAATTTCAGTAATTTGCAGTAAAGAAAGGTAATCTGTCTCTAGTTTCCTCATATTTATTCACCGATATCTCCTCATTAAAAGTTGAAAAATACTACTGCTCTTTGTTTTAAAGTATTTAAACGTCCAACTGTACTTTTTACATAAATAAGATTAGAAAACATGAATTTGATTGTTCCAGAAACTCAGTCATACTGAGAGAAGACTTTTTTTCCTCAGCAATTTACTATTTTTTGGAGTAAATGCAAAAAGCCTTTATGTGTGCAGGCCTCTGTAATGACACTCTAATGTAGTAGAATCTTCTTTGATTTCATTTGCTTAAAGATACTGCTTTAAAAGTTTTAGGGAAATATTTTATCCTAAAAATGTTAATTATCCAAGGTTGAAAAGATCTTACCTGACAGCTTAAAAACTTGTATCTGGGCAGTAAGATGATAATTTTAGTTTCAGTATTATTTTAATTGAGTGGATGTGTGGCAATTCAAGTGTTTTCGTCTCTTAAGTTTCAGTAGTGGGCAGCTTTTGTCTCCCTTCTGTTTTCACTCAAAGCATTTTGTCTGTAAAGAATCTCAGCTTAGGACTCAAAACAAGTCTGTGTTGAGGATTTATTTCTAGAGTTGTGTTAAACAGTTTTCTGTAGCTATAGATAATTACTTATGAAGCTGCATCAAGTACGTACCTTGATTACTACTATCTCGTGACTAACTGCTTGTTCACAGCCTTCCCCACCCTTCCCACCAGCTCCCCTTCACTAACCTGTGCATCCTTTGCTTGTCTGGTCTCTTTTACTTCTTGTTTTTCTCCTAGTTTGTGAATAGCTCTTAAAGTCTGACTTGTTGTCATGGTGCGTTGAAAGAGTAGCCAGTTGTCTTTTCTGGGTAGATCAGCTATGAGCTGACTGACTAAGAGGAGTAGTTAAAATGGAGAAAGCTT
The DNA here is from genome assembly GCF_000001405.40 of Homo sapiens. Classification (NCBI taxonomy): domain Eukaryota; kingdom Metazoa; phylum Chordata; class Mammalia; order Primates; family Hominidae; genus Homo; species Homo sapiens. Next base: position 130,930,035 of record NC_000003.12, read on the forward strand.
AGCTGTACTTTGTCTTGCATGTTAAACGTAATGAGTTTAGAGGATTATGATTATTTGTAATCATCAGGATCTGCTAGACAGGACATCTGTTTTACTTTTTACTCTTATGTTGGTGGAGAAATAGCGTGCTTTTCATTCAATGTGAAAATTTTGTGTTCTAGCTGGGCACCGATGGCTTAGTTTTTGAAATGTAATTTCTTGAGAAGTAGCATGTGGTTAGTATAAAATTGTCTTTCCTATTAGGACTAGCTACGTAATTAGTCTGAAATATTTTTCTAACTGGAAAATTAGTTGCTGTGAACTTTTGGATTTTTATTATTCTAGACTGCATTACACTTGTTTGCTATATTCAAATATTTTTTCTTTGGTTTTACTTCCTAGGTTGCACGTTTTCAAAAAATACCTAATGGTGAAAATGAGACAATGATTCCTGTATTGACATCAAAAAAAGCAAGTGAATTACCAGTCAGTGAAGTTGCAAGCATTCTCCAAGTAAGTGGTTAGTGGGGAGGAAGGGACTAGATGGTGTAAAGTCAGTCACTTAGACTCTATAAAACAGTGCTGTCTAATTTACTTTTCTTCAGTGATAGAAATATTCTGTTCTGTGCCATTCAGCATAGTAGCCACAAGTTGAACAGGACTGTTGAGCTTGACATGGGGTTAAACTTGACAGAATTAAACATGACTATATGACTTGAAATGTGGCTAGTGTGATGGAGAAACTGACTTTAATTTAATTTAAATTTATTTAAATAACTACAGGTGGCTTAGTGGCTACCTGATTGGACAGTGCAGCTCTAGAACATAATAGCTTTTCTAGGAACTATATTAGTGCTGTGTAAGGATTGGTTGGATTAGGAAAATAATTAACGTAAGTAGTGGTAGGAGTTTATCTTTTTTTGATAAGGGTTTTCTAAGGTAAAGTAAAAACTTAAGTACAAGTTTAGAATTGCAGATAATCTGTAATTGCTTATGTAGGCTCTTCCTGGTTTTCAAAAGTAGTATCTATCGAAACATGAAAAAGATAATATTTTTTATTTTTCCTTCAGCAGTCACATATCTTAGTGATAGCATTAAAAACATGGGTATCCTTTTTTAGGTTTTTGTTGTTGTTGTTATTGTATTTATACTCTGCTTTAAAACCACTTATTTGTAATATGTTTGTTTTGAAAGGCTCCTTTATTGGACTCTATTATAATAACCTTTTGGTCAGGGCAACTATTTTGGGGGTACAGATAATTTTATTCTTTAATAGTTAGAATACTAAATCATGAGAGAGAATAACTGAAGGATGTAGGTAGTGTTTATAGAACATAAACTGTTCCAAGAAGAAGTTCATCTGAACTTCACTGCTTTTGAGTAATTTAGGAAGCACAAAATTTGAGCATGAAATAATTACACAGTCCAAGAGTATAAATTAATACCAACCCCAGGGTTTTGATAGGCCCAGAGAACAAGGAAGACATTTATGGCCCATTGAACGTTCTTTGGGAGAAACTAATTTTAGAAAATGGCGAAACAACAATGAAAAGGAAAAAGCTAATTAAAATGTACTGTTATGCTTTCTGTAAGTCTTGTGGCTGATTGTGTTATTTTTCTCCCTAAATTTTGTTTGTTTGGTAAACTCTGCCTTTTTGTTTACATTTTTTTTAAAAAATCAATTTTGTTGAGATATAATTCACATAAAATACAATGTACTTTTTAAAAGTGTACAATTTGCATTTTGACAAATGTAATCACCACCACCATTAAGATAGAACATTTTTATCACTCCAGAAAGCTCCCCCATGTCCCTTTGTAATTAATCCCTCCCTCTCTATGTGTCACTTCTGGTCCCAGGCAACCACTGATAGGTTGCTCTCATAATAGACTAGTTTTGACTGTTGTAGTTTCTGTAAATGTGATAATACATTATATTATGTGCTTTTTTGTGTTTTTCTTTTCTGTGCTAACATTTTCAATAACTTTCATGTATAAACTCTAATAGGCTGATCTTCAGAATGGTCTAAACAAATGTGAAGTTAGTCATAGGCGAGCCTTTCATGGCTGGAATGAGTTTGATATTAGTGAAGATGAGCCACTGTGGAAGAAGTATATTTCTCAGGTGAGATACTTTTACTTCCTCTTCTACTGTGTAATTTATTAATACATGGACTTCTGTTATGTAGTTGCTTACTTTTGTGATACTGTTTATGGAGAAAGGAAATAATTTTTAGATGTTTTTTACCTAAAATTTTTCATTTGTTGGGGCTTACTGTTAGGTTGGAATTCCTGTATTTTTAGTATGTAAATCTTAAAGACAACATTTTCCATATGGGTATATTACACAAAGATAATACTGTTGACAGTAGTGTCCTTTGCTGATATCAAACCTACACTATTTAAATGATAGGACTGGCAATATTTTTTAAGGTAATCATGGCCAGCTCAGAAAACTAGTAAAAAGTAAGTTAGGTAAGTTAAACTCAGGCTGCCTGGGTACAAATTACACCTTCATTTCTTACCAGTTGTGTCATCTTTATTATCCTCTGAGCCTTATCTATAAAATGGTGATGATAACCTTACGGGAGATAGTTAGCTCTCAGTAGATGATAGTTATTTATATTTTTTCATCCTAAATTTTAGGAAAGACTTATTCTAGACTGCTTTTATCTTGATAACGATTGTGTTAATGTAAAAAGTTACAGGTTACTATGATTAGTTTTGAAGTAATTAGGTTGGTTTGCTAAACAAATATTTTTTGCTAAAAACTTCTTTTTAGTAAATGTCTGTGCCTTTTAACCTGCGGTCTTTCTAAAACGATCTATGTTTAACTTTTCTAAAGTGCCTTTTCTGCTAATGAGCTTAAATTTGCCAGGCTTAATTTTGCGAATGAGTTTGTCTAAAGTAGCAACACTGGAATTTTAAAGGTTGGATGAACCTTGTGTGTATATGTCTTATTTTTATGGAATATTATTTATATGTGTCTTTGTATTTTCATACTTACCACATTCCCACATTACCAAAGACTTCAGAAAGCATTAACATAGTTTACTCTGGATTTATAAATTGTAATGATTTGACTTATCCCTAGGCAGTATGATTTAATGTTTTACTTTCTTGATCCTGTTACCAAAGCTAGAGCACCTGCCCCTTGGGATTCCTGTGAGAATTAAATAGTGCCTGTAATGTAGTTAAGCACAACTAAACAAATAACAGTAAATAGTAATCGTAATCACAAAGCACTGGGTGATTCTTTATTCCTCTGCAGCCTGCCATCCATCAAGTGGTGTGCTTAGTAATGTGGCACAGCTTTTTTAGGGGAAAATAAAAAAGATCATGGGTCTTGCCCTCAAAGTGTGACGTTAATAGCTAACATTTTTAAGAACTTTTTTTGGTTTACACGGTGCTTTAATGTACATTCTTAGTTAATCCTTATAACAGTTCTTTGGTATAAGGTTCTGTTTTACCAGATGAAGAATCTGGAGCTTAAAAAGATTAAGGTGACACACAGATGCCAGCAACTGGATTCAAACCTAGGTACTCTGACTCAGTCAGGTTTGTGGTTGGTCAGCCCTGAACCATATTGCAGTTGCAGTGTTATTTTATTAGGGCAGTTTAACTTATTATTTTTTAAAAATCCTCGTTAGAATCACTTGGGGAGTGCTTAAAAAATGCTAAAGCCTGGGCCTTATGCCTAAAGATTTTGATTTAATTAACTTGGTGTGAATCTGGGCATTGGTATTGTTAAAAGTTTCTTATAGGATTCCGATGTGAAGAAGGATTGGGACTTGTTCCAGGGAATGGAACCATAAAGGGGCTTTGGAGGTGGTGGCATGTAACCTCAGAGCTATGGTATCTAAGGGCTGGGGCTTTCTGGTGGGATGGATTCTTTTTAGCCTAATTACTTTGCAACTTTGACAGTGATGTAACACTTTAGCAGAGGAAGAGATTCTAACATCAGAGTTTCAAGGAATAGAATGTCCAACTGGAAGAATTTGGGGTTGACTCTGGTGTGAGGTCATTTAAATGCTTTCTGATCAGGTTGATGCTATAGTCCTGTTTCTTTGATATGATTTGCTGTGGTAGATAGAAACCAGGAAAGCTAGCCTTGAGGAAAATCTTCAGTTTCTTTTGTGGAGAGGAGGGAATTTTTCTGTGATATGTGAGTCAACCACAGAATTGTAATCTACACCATTGTACTTGAGAAATGTTTGAATCTCAGTGTTCTATTCAGTATTTCGCCCAAATTTTTAGCTTAAAAATCATCTTCTCCTGCTTTTTCTAGCCTCAGTAGAAATTCAGAACAGCTGTATTTCTTAAATTAATATACCAAAAATTGCTGTATACTATAAGGAATTGGTTAATTCTTAGTTTTAAGTATTGCTATTTAATTTTTTTTTTCTGAAAAGGAACTGTTAAAAAGCTTTTAAATGTAGTTAAGTATAAACGCTTTTTTTGTTAATTGAAGAGATACATAAAATAAACTGAGTATAGACTTTTGTAATTTTCCAGTCATGCTCTTATGGTTTTTTTTTTTTAAAGCCTTTGCTGAGAGAACTGTCATGTACAAAACTGTGTTGAATTGCTGTTTGTTTTTACTTTCAGTTTAAAAATCCCCTTATTATGCTGCTTCTGGCTTCTGCAGTCATCAGTGTTTTAATGCATCAGTTTGATGATGCCGTCAGTATCACTGTGGTAAGAAAAAAATTACATATTTTTAATCTGTTGAGTAAGTGTATAAATTGGGATTGGTTTTTATTTTGGAAAATAAATTGAGAAGTGCTCTCAGATTTTTTTCAGTGTCCAAATTCTGCTTTTATTTTATTCTTTTTGTTGCGACAGTTTCTTGTTGTATTGCCCAGGCTAGAGTGCAGTGGTATAGTCATGACTCACTGCAGCCCCGAACTCCTGGGCTCAAGCTGTTTTCTGCCTCAGCATCCTGAGTAGTTGGGACTACAGGTGTATGCTAACACCCCCAGCAATTTTAAAATTTTTTTGTAAAGACAGGGTCTTGTTATGTTGCCCAGGCTGGTCTTAAACTCCTGGCTTCAAGTGATTCTCCCACCTTGACCTCCCCAAAGTGTCGAAATTACAGGTGTGAGCCACTGTGCCTGGCTCAAATTCTGCTTTTATTATAGTTACAGTAATTTTGAGTAATGTTCAAAAGTCCATGATTAGCACACATGAAAATTCTTTAACTGGTAATTTTCACAAATATGAAATTTTATAATTATCTGATTAAATTTTAAATTTATTTCACTTTGCAGTTGAGAATATATTTTGACTAGTTGTGAACTAAAGCCTGACATGTGAAATTAAAAATATTCCTTATAGTGCATGCTGTATTTACAGCATACATTTACTATATATGATTTTATTCTTTCCAGCTAGGTTATTCTAGCTTTCATTGAACTGTTTTCTCATCTTTTTCCTTCTTGCTCCATTTCATTTTTGTATAAAAAATTTGTAGCAAGTAAAAGCACTTATGCTTAAGAACACTGTAGATGTTATTGTAGAGATGCAGCTCTTGAACTATTGCTTGCAGTATCCCAGGTATCCCTGAGACCTGTTCAAGGGGTATGTGAGGTCACAACCATTTTAATAATACTAAAACATTATTTGTCTTTCAATTATAGACTTTTGGCATTAATGGCACAAAAACAATGGCAGGTGAAACTGTTAGAGCCTTAGCACAATTCAGAGTAATGGCACCCAACTTTGTTAACAGTCATTGTTTTCTTTCATGTTTCTTAAGAATGTTCTTGATAAAGCAGTAAAAATTAATTTTATTAAATCTGGACCCTTGAGTACATACCTTCATAATAATTTATGTAATGAAATGGGAAGTATGCATGAAACTCTTTTGTATATTGAAATACAATGGTTGTCTCAAGGAAGGGTGATGATTGTGAGGCAAACTAGCCTTGTACTTGAAAGACTGACTCATAGACAAACTATGGGTGTTAGGACTTGGGTAACCAGCAGATTCTTATTTTTGAAAGTGAATTAAATGAGCGAATCAGACCAAGGAAAGGCAACTGGCAGAATTTGTTGCTAATGATAAAATTCAGGTTTTCAAGCAATAATTAGGGTTTTGGAAAATTTGTATGCACTCTTATGGGCTGGATAGCATCCCAGTATTTAAGACTTTATTCCAATTAGATCAGTAGTGATTTCAACAAATGTGTGTTTTTTTTAAAAAAAAAATTGTTACGAAATGTGGTAACCTTGGGGAAGATTTGGGCAATCTTGGGGAAGATTTGAATAACCAAGTGAACCAATATTTCCCAGAAGACCAATGCGTGACATTACAAAATCTGAAATGGTAAAAGATCCATTCAAATGCAAGATAGGTCAATGGATTTCGATATAATAGATTATGAAAGGTGCATTGATACAGTTTTATATTCTACATTGCAGATTACCTTTAAGTAACTAGCACTTGAGTTTTGGTGTAGTAGCTAAGAAGAATATCCACAATCATCTGAAAAAGCTGTTAAAATACTCCTCCCTAGGCTGGGCATGGTGGCTCATGCCTGTAATCCCAGCACTTTGGGAGGCTGAGGCGGGTGGATCATGAGGTCAGGAGATTGAGACCATCCTGGCTAACATGGTGAAACCCCGTCTCTACTAAAAATACAAAAAAAAAAATTAGCTGGGCGTGGTGGTGGGCACCTGTAGTCCCAGCTACTCGGGAGGCTGAGGCAGGAGAATGGCGTGAACCCCGGAGGCGGAGCTTGCAGTGAGCTGAGATCACGCCCCTGCACACCAGCCTGGGCAATAGAGCAAGACTCTGTCTCAAAAAAAAAAAAAAAAAAAACTCCTCCCTAAAAAAAATAAAAAAGAAAAAATGCTCCTCCCTTTTCCACCGTATCTGTATGGGGCTGGATTTTCTTCATACACTTTAGCCTGAACAATATGTTATAGTAAATGGAATACTAGCTTTCTAGAAAGTCATATATTAAAATATAAAAATTTAAAACACTGCTATTTTTCTCACAATTTTTTTGGAAAATTTATTTTTCATAAAGTTATTTGTGTTAGCATGTAATGAGGTTTAAAATTTTTTACATGAGTTGATGAGTAGAAATTAAAACTGACTAGTTGAAAAATTTGATATGGTAAATATCAGTATATATAACCCACTTAAAAGCTGGTCCTCAATTTGTGAGAGCATAAAAGGGCCCTGAGATCAAAAAGTTAGAGAAGCTGCCCTGGTAATGGCAAGCCACTGTAAACTGTTAGCTTCTTTCCCCACAGGCCTTAAGGTAAAGTTGTGATTTCTTTTCCAGCTGATCTCAGTGTTTAAAATCTGTTATTGTGGGACTGCAGATAGTTAGAAAAATAAAATACAGTTAACAGTTACTTCTCAAGTTAATGTCTGATTTAAAAGCCTGTTTCTTTTGTTTAGGCAATACTTATCGTTGTTACAGTTGCCTTTGTTCAGGTAAGTACTCTATTTTGCCAACATGAAAATGGTATGTTAATTGCTTAAAAATCAAGGTGTCTTGTGGTAGAACCTACCGTTATTGGGGGGTTGTAATGCCCATCAGAACAACTTATTCTTTGTTTTTCAAGTAATTTCAGATACAGACAACTCTTCAGGGAAGCTTGTGGTGTGGGACTAAGGAACTGCTTTGATTTAGGTAGTGAGATGAAGAAAATCTAGTTTTTTATTTGATAATGTTAAGGATAACTGAAGCAGATGGAAACAAAAAGCATAGTAATAGAAATAAAATCCAGCAGTAAACTTTTTTATTTTTTCAATTAAAAAATTGGACCAGAGTTTATAGTTTCATAACACTGTTATGTTTTAATGCCTACTAGAGCTAAGTCTAGATGAAACAAAAAAGTATAGAATTAAAAGGTCGATCTGTGATGTACCATTTGAAGAAAATTCCACAGGTTTCTGTGACTGATTCCCTTAGCCAAATGCTACACTTGTTTGCTGAATTTATCACTTAACCTTATTTTATTTGAGTCTGTTTTGAGGAATTAAAATGGTTCTACTCATTGTTGGCATGACCTCCTCTCCCCTCCCTTTAAAACAATTTCTCATTCCTCCACAAAAGGGGTGTTGTGATCTGAATCAAAGTAATTCAAACAGTAAATAAAACATATGTAAAGTAGCCCCTTTTAAAAATTACTATGAATAATGTGGAGATACTGTCAAGATTTCTATTAATAAGTACAGACAAATAAAAATGTAGGCTTAGTTTTATGTTTATTTAAATATCTGAAACTTCTGTAGATTTTAGAACAGTGTTTCACAATATCAGCAGATTTCCTTTTTAGCTAGAACATGGTTAACAAGAATAGAATTATTCTAGCTTAGAGAAAAATGTAATATTGTTGCATAAGCCTGAAGTTCGTGCTGTTTTGAATCTGAAGCCTATACTTTGAATAACTATGGTTGTTCTTACATCTACGATTTATTACGTGGGTATTTCTTGTCACTATCCCAGCCTCTTAAGGTAATCTCTAACCTAGTTGTTATTAGTTCTGTAGTAACCCAGTGTAGAAAGCCAGTTGGAATCAGATCATTTGCAGTAGGTTTGTGAGCTCCATTAGTAGACTATCAGGGTTCCGCTTTTAGGGGAATCTTCTTGCTTAGACAAATGTTGCCCATGGTCAGGTGGAGCTGGTTAGTCTAGCATAGGTCATGTCAGGCTAACCATTATTCAAGGCAGCTATTCATTCAGCCAAGTGAGTGATATGACCCACTGGACCACTAACTGGACCTTCTTGCGTCTTTAAGAATGTGTCAGATATGTGGAGTGCCCTACTTCAGAAGGATTCCTGCAAATAGTATCACTATGTATGGAAGACCTTAGTACCTTGTTCTCTTTGATCACTAGAAAGCCCATGTTTTCAAAAAACACCACAAAATTGTGATTTTAACATAAGTCAATATGGAATTTTACACAAGATAGTGTTGTTATACACATTAAATGCTATGGCTGAGACTATTAAATATGTTTATGATAGGTACATTTGATAGAAATCTCACAAAAGGATGAAAACTTTATAAAAAGCCTAGTTTCAAATTGCTAGGTCTGATTCTTACACACATGTGACCCATCACCAAATATGCCTGTGAAACCAACAAAATAGTCTATAAACAAGTAAAAATCCTCTCCAAAAAGATCCTATTTACTGTCAGTTGAACTTATCATAATGCTTTAATCAAAAAGCTCTTTATCAAAAATGTATAAAAAATTCTTAATACTTTATCATTATTTGTTATTTGTGCTATATTACTTGTGTCTTAAGAGGGCTTTTTATATTCCTTTTTATATTTATGTCCTGCCTTTTTTCCGTGTGTCTTTGCAATCCCCATTCCCCACACCACTGTACTTCTTCCCAGCCATAAAAATAGCTAATTGTTTTATATAGTCGTAATGAAGTCACCTTACAATAAATTTGAAAAATGACTTTTAGGCATTTATTAGGTTTTAGGTGGTATGTTTAATGATCATTTTGATATAGAGGTATCTTTATAATTGTAGGGAGTAGAGGCTAAGAAACCAGAAGACATAAGTAAAGATTGGGCAGCATCTATGTCATTTATTACTGGGATCTAGGATTGATGGGTATTTTCTAGCATATTACAGAATTTTTGGGTAAACTTCCAAATTCCTTAATATCCTTCATGTGTTTGGGGTGTTGTCTTATGATTTTTACATTTGTAGATTTTCCTTATATTTGTCACTCTAAGATTAAGTAGAGACTGATTGTGTTCTAAGTTATTCTTACATAGCCTTGTGTTTTCTATTTGAAGTTTGTGATGGATAGGACATTTTGACTAGTACTAGCACTGCAGTCATTTCAAAACATTCCCAACCCTTCTACCTCCACTATTTGCCTCTCCCTCTTTTGACCTTAGATTAGAAGATTCTTTTGCTTACTACAGACATGAGGCAAAAATAGCAGTGATGTGTGATGCAAGACTGCTCATGGAAATGTGGACTAAGTAGTATTGTGAGTTGAAGGATGTTTCTGACTGACCCTCAGCTATTTGTTATCTGGATGGAAGAAGGCTAGAAATCACATTGTTAGAACTCCTGAGAATTTTCCTTTTTGGATACACAGGTTGATGGGAACTGGGTCTGTCAGTATAGAGCCAGCCACATCTTACTCCTTGTTTATCCCATGTTTGTTCTAATGGTTTACTTTGTAAACCATTGCTGTTAGCATGGGCTTAAATTCCTAAAGCAGATGTTGTTTACGGTTAATTATCTTTGACTTCTGTGGTCATTAGACACTTAACATAAGATTATCTAAATTTTAAGGCTCAATGACTTAAAACTTTTAATGACTCAAATTATGTACTCTTTGGACATACTAGTCAGTTTTCATTTTTATTCTAAATAACCTTAGGTTTGTACATTGAATATTAAAATGTAAAACTGGGAATATTTAATTATCAAAATTGATCTCTACATTTAACATTTTAAAATAAGGGACAAGCTTTTCTGGGTAAGAATATAAGCACAAGTAAAGGAAAAGATGAGAATTGGGGGAAATTTTAAAATAATGATTGAGATTAATAAGTCTAAATGGAATATATTCATGGGAGCAAAATTAAATTCTACTTTTTTTTGTTTGAATAGGAATATCGTTCAGAAAAATCTCTTGAAGAATTGAGTAAACTTGTGCCACCAGAATGCCATTGGTATGATCCTTTTTTTGGTATGGATTTCTGCCCCTTTAAAAATAGAAGTTGAATGTGACTAGTACCGTACATATTGTTATCCCCACTTTGTCTGAACATAAGGAAGATACTATTAATCTGACACAAAAAGTTCCTGGTCTCATTAATGTAGCAAAACTGTACCATTGAAAACTTTAAAATCCGAGATTCTAGAGACATGGATGTATTTAACAGATTTTTTTTTTTTTTTTTTTTTTTTTTTTAGATGGAGTCTGGCTCTGTCACCCAGGCTGGAGTGCAGTGGCACAATCTCGGCTCACTGCAAGCTCCATCTGCCGGGTTCACGCCATTTTCTTGCCTCAGCCTCCTGAGTAGCTGGGACTACAGGTGCCTGCCACCACGCCCAGATTATCTTTTGTATTTTTTAGTAGAGACAGGTTTCACCATGTTAGCCAGGATGGTCTCGATCTCCTGACCTCGTGATCTGCCCACCTCGGCCTCCCAAAGTGTTGGGATTACAGGCGTGAGCCACCGCGCCCGGCTGTATTTAACAGTGTGTGTGTGTGTGTGTGTGTGTGTGTGTGTGTGTGTGTGTCTGTGTGTGTGCGCGCACGCGCGCATGCATGCGCGTGTCCATGCGCAAGTGTGTGCTAAGCCCTGTTCTGGGTATAGTGATTCACAATCAAACAGACCCAGGTGATTCAAAAGGTTGCTTCAATTTGCACATTTTACATTTGAACAAATAATTTGTTTTTCAAGTTATTTTCTGTCATCTTGGCATCTTAAGTGTTTAGAAACAGTCTTTTTCTTGGTTCTTATATTTGCCTTTTCCTCAGACAAGCCTACTGGAAATAATTTTTTAAGACAAGTTGCATGAATTTTTTTTTTTTAACCATGGTTGTTTCTATTTCGTGTTACAGTGTGCGTGAAGGAAAATTGGAGCATACACTTGCCCGAGACTTGGTTCCAGGTGATACAGTTTGCCTTTCTGTTGGGGATAGAGTTCCTGCTGACTTACGCTTGTTTGAGGTAAATTTGGGATCTGATTGTAATAAGTGAAAATACGTGGATGTAGATTAAAGGATAAACATTACTAGTTTTAAGGAATTAACACATAGTTGATTTGAACCATTTGGTATTCTACTTTAAAATGTGACATATATAAACTTTTTTTTTTCCTTAAAATGTATCTGTCTCTACTGTAACATCTTTTGAGGTGTTTGTTTAGTGAATCAGCAGATCTTTATAGAAACCTGCATATTAGGGACTGTGGGAGATACAAAGATGATATGACAGAATACTTGTGACTAGGGAACATACTATGTGTACACAAATTACTCACCATAAAATAGAACTCAGTAATTGAGTAAGAGAAGTTCAAAGAATAGGATATAGACATTTAAAGAAGGGAGAGGTTCCACCTGATTTGAATGAGATCAGAATATGCCTCAGACCACATGGCTTTGGCAGTGATAATTGAAGAGTAGTACTGGACAAAGATGGGGAAGACAATGAAGCAACACCATTCAAATCACTATGAACATTCCAGTGTATGAAACTCTGTTGGGACATGGTAAGGGTAGAAAACGTGTGATGGAATCAGATTTCAGAGGCCTTGGATACTAGGCTTAACTTCAGATTTTTTTGGTTAGGAGTTACCTTTTGAGGCTCCTGTGCAGTTGCTAAATAATGTTATCCTTAATCTGGCTACAGTGTGTAGAATAGATTGAAGAACTGGAAAATGGAGATAGGCACCTAGTTTAACAGGCTTTCAAAACCCATTAGTATGCAGGTCTTATCCACCATTGGAATTAAGCTGTTTGTTAACACCTGCAGAGCAGTCAGTCTTTAAATACTATGGCCAAAAGTATGAGTGTTCTCATAGATGCTGTAGAAGGCCTGAAAAACCTTTCAGACTGTAATAAGAACAAACTTGGCTTAATCTTTCAGCAGAGGCCTTTTTTCCAAATATTTGAAATTTATCCTTAGAAAGCTACTGGATTGCTTTAATTGGGTGACTAGGAATAATTGATAATATTGCAAGTGTTACTAATTTTACTTCATTATCCTTTTTCTCGTCTTTGAGGTCTTTTTAATGTTAATTCTTTTCTACTCTTCTTTCCTTCAGTTCCTAATATTTTGCCGATGACAATACCTTGAATTATTCTTCCTCAGAGATTAAGTAGTCTTGTCACTTGGCATAAGTTTTCTTCCCCCTCCCCCAGAAAACCCTAATTTAAATTCATGGAGTTCATGCCATTCTTTATTCTGGGCTGCTGCTCTTCCAGTTGAGAAGCAGAACTTCTCATTGGGATAGTTAGAAGATGGTGTTTCTCATTTGCATGGTTCGAGAAATATAATGATAGAAACTTCAAAACACCATTAATGCTTGCTAAACTATTTTAGGGTTTTCATTTAACTAAGGGTTAATTGACTTGACAGTTAATTATTTCAAAGTTCACATGTAAACAGGAAAGAAAACCTGTCAGTATAGATTAGTATGTATTTTATCTACTCAGCAAATATATATTGAAAACATTGTGAATTTTTTATTTTTGTTTTTGAGATGGAGTCTCACTCTGTTGCCCAGGCTGGAGTGCAGTGGTGCGATCTCAGCTCACTGCAGTCTCCATCTCCTGGGTTCAAGCAATTCTCCTGCCTCAGGCTCCCAATAGCTGAGATTACAGGTGCCTGCCACCACGCCTGGCTAATTTTTTAGTATTTTTAGTAGAGACGGGGTTTGGCTGTGTTGGCCAGGCTGGTTTTGAACTCCTGACCTCAGGTGATCCACCTGCCTCAGCCTCCTAAAGTGCTGGGATTATAGTCGTGAGCCACCGCTCCTGGCCGACATTGTGAATTTAATAAGAATTATAAGCATATGTCTTGTGGAGTAATTTATTAGTTATTATTGTTTTCCCCCTACTTGTTAACTTTGCAAGCACTTCATCAGCACGTTTTATTCTGCAGTACTGTAGTTAGGTTGATTTTGTTCTAGTTAATCCACTTTTACGTATATAGTTGAACATTTTTTATTCTCTCTACCTTAATTCTGCCTTATTTGTTTTGCCTGTTACTTGCTACCCCAAACAGACTTTTGCAACTACTTTGACTGCAGATTGAAATAACTTTCCTTAAAGAGTTGGGGATCTTTTATCCATCTAAATTTAAATGTACTGACTTAGGATATAGACTGATAAAGTCAGTTTCTCTTCTGGACACAGAAGCTGCTAGTTTTTTGAAAGTAAATTGGCTTATTGGAGTTTTGTTGGCTCAGTTTGGCTGTGGTGATCTTTGGATAATTTTGTAAGGCTAGCTGGTCATTTGATACTACTGTATGAAATAAACTGTCATTAGGGTTTAAAGGAACCAGAAAACTCCTTAGTCAGCTTTGGGATATCACTAATTTCTTCCAAAGCACATAGATTTCACTTTAGAGAAAGCAAGTCTGTGAACTTCTGCTATGTAGTTAGTTCTCTTACAGACTAGGCCTAAAGCCACAGTTGCAACTTTAGTGTCATCATTTTGTAACTGTCATAAATTTTAGTGCTTTCAGAGTTTGACTGTAAACTTGCCTGGGTCCTTAGCAGCTTCTTGTTAGCACATTCAGTGACTTGACTGTTGTACAACTTTTATCTGGTACAACTTTTATCTTCATAGGTTGTGTCTTAGCTTGGGTTGCTTTAACAAAATACCATGCCATTTATTTTTCACAGTTACGGAGGCTGGAAGTTCAAGGTCAAGGTCTGGCAGGGTTTGGTTTCTGGTGAGGACTGTTGCTAGCTTGAGATGGCTATCTTCTTGCAGAGTCCTCACATGGCGGAGACAGCAATTTCTCTCTCTTCCTCTTATACGGCCACTAATGGCATCATTAGGACTAGCCTCATGACCGCATCTAACCCTGATTACTTCCCAGGGCCCCATCTCCAAATACTATAACATTGACTGTAGAGCTATATAGCATGTGACTTTTTGGGATACATAGTTAAGACTGTAACAGGTTGAGACTGCCATTTTGTTTATACTTTTTAAAGACTAATATTAATAACTTAAGGAATTGTGTAGTTTTTCCCTTGCCTGTGTCAGGTTTTCAGAAGCCAGTGGTTGAGCCAAGATAGTTTTCCCTTGGTATCCACTGAGGATCGGTCCTAGTAGATCCACAGAGAGCAAAATCCAAAGATGCTCAAGTCCTTTACATACAATTGAGTAGTATTTATATATAACCTCTGCACATTTTTCTGTATACTTTAATTCATCTCTAGATTACTTATAACTCCTAATAAAATATAAATGCTATGTCAACAGTTGTTATACTATATTTTTAAAAGTTCGTATTTTTTTTACTGTTGTATTTTTTTTATTATACTTTCTTTGAATATTTTCCACCTGTGATTGCTTGAATCCACTGCTACAGAGGGAGGACTATAGTTGGTGGCAGTGGCCTTTCCAGCAGGAGCCTGAGAGGCACTGATGGAGCTAGGACAGTAAAACTTAGAGGAATTGAGCTTTGGGCATGTTATTTGTTTTTTTTTCCCCCGAGGGTTTTTATTTTAACTTTTAGTGTTGAGAAGAGGCACCACTGGCCAATTACTTGATGATAACCAATGGATTGGTCGGACAATGACTTTAGATGAAGCAATCTTATTGACTATGTATGCCTGGATAACAGTACATTTTATTTTTATTTTTATTTCATTTATTTATTTTTTATTATTATACTTTGTTTTAGGGTACATGTGCACAACATGCAGGTTTGTTACATATGTATACAAGTGCCATGTTGGTGTGCAGCACCCATTAACTTGTCATTTACATTAGATAATATCTCCTAATGCTGTCCCTCCCCCCTCCCCCCACCCCACGACAGGCCCCGGTGTGTGATGTTTCCAACCCCGTGTCCAAGTGTTCTCATTGTTCAATTCCCACGTATGAGTGAGAACATGTGGTGTTTGGTTTTGGGTCCTTGTGATAGTTTGCTCAGAATGATGGTTTCCAGCTTCATCCATGTCCCTACAAAGGACAAGAACTCATCCTTTTTTATGGCTTCATAGTATTCCCTGCTGTATATGTGCCACATTTTCTTAATCCAGTCTATCATTGAACAGTATGTTTTGCCTTTGTGAAAACACAGCATATTTTTGGTGTTGTTCCAGGTAAAGTCTATATCAATATTTGGATAAAGAACTCTTTGTAAGAAAAAACAGCGTGAGGGTCAGATGGAAAAAGGTTGTGGGTTTTTTTTTTTTTTTGGTCTTTTGAAAATATTTTACTTCTCTCAGCTATAACTTTCTAAGCCGAATAATACATCGCTTGAAATGATAGCAAGATTTTCTTTCATTTGAAGTTCTGAATAAGTCCATTGACACTTTGCTTTGTGGTTCATGTGCTTATAGTTGGCCCCCATCATTTTTTTAAACCTATTTTTGATCTGATGATTTTCTAAATGTATCAGACTTCTTTCAGAGAATTACCACTTGGGCTAGCAACCAAGATTAAGCTGTTTTTATGATACTGGATTATCAGACCATTTTAATCTGGGCAGAAAGGTTAGTTCTATTAGGAGTTAGGGTCTAACTGGGGCCAAGCTCAGGAATTCAAACTTAAGAACACGCCAGTGGGCATTATATTGTGAGCCATTTTTTAATCTCATGAATCCTTGTACTTTGTTATAGTATAGCAGTTTGGCTCAGTGAGTAGTTTCTGGTGTTTTCAGGGCTTGTTCCTTTCTGTTCCCTAGTTCTAAGGAGAAGTAAAAACCAAAGATAATGGGCATCATTGAGCCAGCACAGATATACTTTAGCTACCTGCCACCTGAAGGAGTCAGAAATAATCTCCTTGACTGGAACCCCATGTAGCCATTATGTTCCTATCTGTGAGGCTCACATTCTTGCCCAGTCTGTTGTTAAGACCCGCTAACAAGCAGCTTCCTCCACGTTGGGTAAATCCATTACTGGAGCAATCACTCTGTGTCAAGCATTCTGATTTCCTGAGTTAATAAAATACATGTTCCATTTACTCAATGAAAAAATACTCTGGTAAAACCCAGGTTACAATTCTGATTTGGTTTGGTATGCTTTTTCAAAAAAGAATGTTTTCAAATATTTGATAAAATGTAAGCATGTAGTGATATTTTAAATTTACTTATGTTGGTAATGAAGCTAATTTAGGCAATTGTAATCCATTTCTTAGGAAATCAGTCTGTTATGAAACCATTTTCGCCATTTAGCACATATTTGAAAACCATGTACAGCACATTGTATCAGGCTTCAGGGCTTAGAAGTGAAAAAGACAGTTTGAGCCCTCTCCATTGGCAGACACCAGCTTGCAAACAACTGTGATTCAAAGAATGATATGTGTCTGCTCATGAAATGAATTGACCATGTGAGCCTAGGCAAGCCGCTTGATTTTTTCAGGCCTGTTTTGTCACTGTGACACAGAGTTGCCCTAGAGCAATGCATTCCAACTTCTAATGTGCCTAGGAATCAGCTGGGCTCTGTTTTGGTAGGTGTAGGGTGGGGCCTGAGATTACGCATACTTAACCAGCTCTTAGACCATGCCAAAAGCACTGGTCCATCCACCACATTAAAAAAAAAAATTATTAAAACAGCTTTTTTGAGATATAATGTGCATATCATACAGTTCACACATTTAAGGTGTATCGTTCAGTGGTTTTCAGTATATTCACAGTTGTACACCCATCACTACAGTCTAATTATAGAGCATTTTCATCACTCTCAAAGGAAAACCCTTACCTCTTAGCATTCATTCTGTATTTTCCCTGCCTCTAGCAGCCACTAATCTGCTTGCCACTGAAATACATGTGCCTATTCTGGACATTTCATATAAGTAGAATCATACAATATGTAGTCTTTTATGTCTGGCCTCTTTCATTTAATGTAATGTTTTTAGGTACTTCATTCATGTATGTCATTGTTTTTTACTGCCAAATAATTTTCCATTGTAAGGATTTATATCACATAGTTGGTGAATTTAATCCATTTACACTTACAGTGATTACTGATAGGAAAGGACTTCTGTTGTTACTTGTTTTCTATTTGTGTTATCTTTTTATGTTCCTCAGTTTCTCCTTTGTGCCCTTCTTTGTTTTTTTTCCACGCCCCTCCAATTGATTTTTTTTGATGTACCTTTTTTATTCCCTCAAATTATTTTCTGTGCATACTGTTTACTTATTTTCTTAGTGATTATATGTGGATTACAATGAACATCCTAATCTTATAACAATCTATTTGAAGTGATACTAACTTTGCTTCAGTAGCATACAAAATCGTACAGCCCACACCTCCCTCATCTTTGTTATTTTTGCAAATGACATCTTTATGCATTCTGTGCCCATTAATATAGATTTATAAGCATTTTATGCATTTATAAGTTTAATTATATAGGAAGCAAACACAGGAGTCACGAACTCAACATACAATAATACTGACTTTTATGTTTACCTACATAGTTAGCTTCATTGGAATTCTTTATGTCTTCATATGGCTTTGAGTTACTTTCTACTTTCTTATTTCAGCCTAAAGGGCTGTCTCTTAGCATTTCTTATGAGTCAGGTCTGACTAGTGATGAACTCTTTTTGCTTTTGTTTATTTAGGATTTTAAAAATTTCTCCTTCATTTTTAAAAGATAATGTTGCCAGATAGAAAATTATTGGTTGACAGTTTTTTTTTTCTGAATATTATAAATGTCTGCTCTTTTTGGCCTCTGTGGTTTCTGATTAGGATTATTAATCTTAATGAAAATTCTGTTATGTGATAAGTTGTTTCTGTGGCTGTTTTCAAGATTCTGTCTTTATCTTTCAATGGTTTGATTATAATGTGTTTAATTGTGGATATCTTTGAGTTTATTATATTTGGATTTCATTGAGCTCCTTGGTTGTGTAGATTTATGTCTTTCATCAAGTTGGGGAAGTTTTCAGCCATTTTATCTTCAGCTATTCTTTCTGTCGCCTTCTCTTTTTTCCTTCTGAGATTGTACTGGCATACCTCATTTTATCATGCTTCAAAGATAATGCATTTAAAAAAATATATTAATAGATTTGTGGCAACCCTGTGTCAGGCAAGTCTGTTGGCACCATTTTTCCAACAGCATGGTGCTTACTTTGTATCTCTGTGTCACATTTTGGTAATTCTCACAGTATTTCGAACTTTTTCAATATTATGTCTATTATGGTGATCTGTGATCAGTGATCTTTGCTGTTACTGTTAAAATTGTTTTGGGGCATCATTAACGATGTTCATGTAAGACTATAAATGTAATGAGTAAATGTTGCGTGTTTTCTACTGCTGCTCTGCCCGACTGCTCTTTCCTTCTCCTTGGGCTTTCCTGTTCTCTGAGAAACAGCAATATGGAAATTAAGCCAATTAATAACCCTACAGTGGCCTCTTAAGTGTTCAAGTGAAAGGAAAAATTGCATGTCTTTCACTTTAAGTCAAAAGCTAGAAATGATTAAGCTTACTGAGGAATGCATGTCAAAAGCTAAGATAGGCTGAAGGCTAGGCCTCTTGCCTCAAACAATTAGCCAAGTTGTGAATGCAAAGAAAAAATTCTTGAAATTAAAAGTGCTATTCCAGTGAACACACAAATGATAAGAAGTAAAACATTCTTATTGTGGATATGAAGAAAGTTTGAAAGGTTTCGATAAAACATAAAAGCAGCCACAATATTTCCTTAAACCAAACCTAATCCAGAGCAGGACCCTAACTCTCTTCAGTTCTGTGAAGGCCGAGAGAAGTGAGGAAGCTGCCAAAGAAAAGTTTGAAGCTTGCAGAGATTGGTTCGTGAGGTTTAAGAAAAGAAGCCATCTCTGTAACATATAAGTGCAAGATGAAGCAGCAGATGTTGATGGAGAAGCTGCAGCAAGTTATTCAGAAGATGTAGCTAAGATCATTGAGGAAGGTGGTTGTACCGAACATTTTCAATGTAGATGAAACAGCTGTATCTTCTGAATAACTTTCTGTATACTCGAATCAGAAAGTTAGCAATTTATGTAAGCATCTACCACGGGATAAAATTAATTTCATATATCGTTTTCAGTAATACGTAACATAACACTTGGTTGGTTTGGCTTTGAGTGTTAGTAAGTTAAATACATGAAGATTTTAAATTACATTTTTCTTCATTTGCATAAACAGTGAGGTATGTTAATTTTTGAGAACAGAAGTAAGAAATTTTATCATGATCAGGCAGCTACAGGTGAATATTTTGGAAGATTGTTTTCTGGGGAGAGAAATCCATTTCTAATCTGCATTTTAATGATTTGCTTTTAATTCTAGACTCGAGAGGTGATTGCCTTATCAGTGTACCGTATGTCAAACCGTTCTTTAGCTTAAGAACTTATTTGTAGCTGCCAGTTGTTCCATATTAACCTGAATTTTTAAAAGTACTTTCTGCCTTTCAGGAAACCTTTGTGACTGGCATTTGATTTCTTTCTCTCTAGTGTTTTATGGGAATAATAATCTTGTGAATTTTCCAATCATTTTTATTGTGTACATGTTAAATATTTAGACTGTGGATTATATAGTCGTCTTGATTCTTATTTATATTCTGATTTTTGAACTGTTTTATAGCATATTCACACCTCCACCAGACTGCTTGAAGAAGAATGAAAGTGAAAATCAGTTTTCTTGTTCATTAACAGGTCTTCTGAGGGTTTAATACTTAAACTTCTGGCTGGCTGTCATGGGGCTGCCTGATTCTTTGATTTCACTTTATCCTACCTTTCCCTCTCTCATGAATGCAATGAATAATGACTCTAATATCTTTCTTCTCAGACGAATTAAATTGTGACTTTATTAAACTGTAATAGGCTTGCCTAATTTATTAAATTCCACCTTTTCTTTCCCTCTACTCCCTCAAAACTACTTCCTAGGAAAACTCTTGCAATCACTATTAAGAGAAAATAACTTGTGACTTAGAAAGTATTCGTATTCAACAGATAGTTGAAATCTTTGCAGATTGGGACATTGTAAGATTTAGACAAATTTCATGATCATTTGAGTTTTAGTTGCAAATTTATAATGATATAGGAAAAAATTAGGGTCCTGAGCTCCTTTTTCTTCCACATCAGCTTGTCTGTTCCACCAGACAAGGGCTCTCTTAAGTGATTGTTGTTCTGAGGCTGAAACCAAAGAGCTAGGTTGCTGACAGAGCCATGAAATCATGCTTTTCTCTTTTTAAAAACAACAGATTAAAAAAAAAAATTCCTTCTCTGTTAGTCACTTCATGTTAGTATTTATCCATGTTTAAGATTTACATTTAAAGCAAAAGTCTTCAAAGGGAAAACATGAGTTTTACTTCTCTTACAGAAGGAATTCTGTAAATTTCTACAAGTATTTTTAAATATTAGTGGGTCTCTTTCCTAATTAAGATCTTGGAAAGTTACGTGCAACTCTGACTGTTGTAACAAGCATTAAATATGAGCTTGCTAAATAAAATGAACCTTATATAAATTTACTTGTAATTCAGATAATACATAATTTTTTACATATCTTTGCTTTATGTGTTATACTGTCTTTTTCTATAAGTGGTTACAAAATTGGGGAGGAGAAATAATTTGCAGATTGATCCTCTAAATAATTAAGAGGAATCTGGAGTTAAAGTCTTTCAACACTGGAATTTTATCTGCATAGTGTTGTACCTCTATAACGTTGGATGAGTTACTTAACCTTTCAGTGCCTGTAAAACAGATAATAATAGTAATTACTTGCCTCATAGGAGTTGTTAGTAGGATTAAATGTGATAATTTAGCATAGATATGTAGCATAGTGCCTAGCAGATGGTAAGCAATGAAATGTCAGCTGATTTTTAGTATTGGCATTATCTTTGAAGAAGGGCCCATTTTAAGATTTGTTTCTCTTACCTTGCTAATAAATGTGTTAGTGTGAAAAGTTAAATAGTTCCAAGGTTAACGTGGAAATAAAAGTCAAATAAATATGTTTCTTTAATAAAGAAAAATTCACTTGCCTTTGAACATGACAGGTGTTTTTTAAATCTTCAGTTGCGTTAAGGTAATGAACTCAGATTTATTAACTGGTTTGTGTTTGTATACACAATTAATGTTAAATGCAAAATCCTTTAAAGTCTAAATGACTATTGATCTGTATTTTAAAGAATAATTTTTGTAAGCTTATTTTGATACTAAAATGCATTCCACTGTCATATTATCTAAACTTCTGGGAAATGCTAGCACAATTTTGTCTCTTTGGAGTTATATTTATTTTCATGATGAATATTTTAAAACTTAACAACCTATTGTAAACTGTTATTTTTGCAGTTATGTTTGCCTAACACACAAACACACCAAGCATGTTCCTGTCCCCAAGGTCTTTGTACTTTTTGTTGCCTTTACATGAAATCCACTCTCCCTAATTATGGCCCAGCCTTGGAGCTCTCAGGTCTGTCAGGGCTCTGCAGAGGATTACCTGGTTTTGGGGAATGTTTTCTTCTAAAATGTGGCTCTATCTTTATTATGTTTGTTGTTTTCCCTCTACCTGGCATTATGTTATATACTCGTGCTTGTTTAAAATCACTTTCCCATTAATATCCAAGGGTAGAAACTTTGTTTCATTCACTGCTGATTATCCTACTGTGTATGATAAAGCACAGGGCCTGGCACATTGTAAGCAGTAATAAATATTTGTTAAGTGAATGTAGGAATGTTGTTGATCAAATTAAAACAGTTTTGTTGAGGAGATGAAGATTCTGTGAACCAATTTTTAATAATCATTTTACGTGAGGTTATTTGAGGTTTTTATGCTCAGAAGTGAACCATTTGAAAAGATGTAATTTATAACTTTTCACCCCCCACCAAAAGAAAAGAAAAAGAAGATTTAAATTTAGAATACTTGGTACATAGTGTGAACTGAGAGTTAAGAAAGGCCTGATTGAGAATACTGACTCAGCCTAAAATATCAGTGATACTGTGCAGTAATTTATCCTGTTTTCTTACCAGGAGCTTGCTCAGTGCCTAACACTGATAGTCAGTAAATGTTTGTTGGGTGAATGAATGAGCCTGTAAAATCAGTAAAGTCATGAACTAATTCCTAGTTTCTTACAGAGTATCCTAAGGACCCTTGAATAAATGCTTCTGGAATAAAATGGATGGAAATTTGCAACAGAATCACCTGGAGGGCTTGTAAATACTGTCTGTTAGGTTTACTTTTTCCACCCTGTGTTTGAGGTGGAGCAAAGGACTCTTAACTTCTAACAAGTTCTGAGGTAGTGGATGTGATGCTGTCCTCCTTTCAGAAGCTTTGCTGTATATCTGTATTCCTGTTGAGGTGATTCATGTTAATGTATTGAAGGTTTTGAGAGCACTGCAGTAGAGGAAGCTGTTTAACTCTTAACTATTTCTGACTTACTTGGCCCTAGTCCTCTCCCTCACTTGTTCGTATGTATGTATGTATGTATGTATGTATGTATGTATGTATATATGTATGTATGTGTGTATGTATCTATACTCATAAAATTGTTTTTTTTTTCTTTTTTCTGTATGCTTGGGTAGGTAAATACTGTGTCAGGAGTGAAGCCTTCAAAACTGAGCCCTGTTGCAGAGTTGGAAGATATTATGATAGTTATGATCTGCATGAAAGCATTTGTATACATTTTTGAGTCTTGCAAATTGTAATTTGGAATAAACGGCATGTATAACAATAATGATTTTATGAAAATTGATTCCAAAATGATGAAATGATTTCTAAGTAACATTTTTCCCCTTTATTCATTTATCACTTTCAGTCATCGTCGATGGTTTTAATCTGCCAAGCCATATTTCCAGAACTTTAGGTACTTGACAAAATTAGGAAATAATATTTTGTCATGAAAAGTTGAGTTTTCTCTAGATGAAGATTGAGTCTTAGCTAGTGTCAAATTTTTCCTAGTTGTATTTTCAATTTTAGGCTAATCTAGTCTCATGGTACAGCATTCTACTTTGCATGTCTTAGATTTTGTTGACTTAATTGTATTTTAAAATATGATTGTACTGATTCTGGTCTTTTAGAGTGATGGTTTTGATACAAGATGTGGCTAATCAATGGAAAAGGGATGTTTGAGGAAGAAGTGATGATGGTTATGAACTCTAGAGATGTTAAATGTAGCACAAAATTTGAATCTGGGATTCTTTATGTTCCCTAAGGCTGTGGATCTTTCCATTGATGAGTCCAGCTTGACAGGTGAGACAACGCCTTGTTCTAAGGTGACAGCTCCTCAGCCAGCTGCAACTAATGGAGATCTTGCATCGAGAAGTAACATTGCCTTTATGGGAACACTGGTCAGATGTGGCAAAGCAAAGGTAAATTTTTTTCCTGATTTGAAAAAAGCAGTTCCTTTGTTTGAAACTATTTTCTCAATTATTTTTTGCTGATTTTATGTGGAATTTTTCAAATACATGACAAAGGATAAAATTGAACTTAACCCATTACATCTATTTGTGAAACTGGGGAGAATCTGTGTCCCCAAAGTATAATATTTCCGTAGTTCTGCTATTTCCCAGATAATGGATAATCCTCAATACCTGTTTCTTTTTAAAGAGAGAAACAGTGTTTTCATGGATGTGTTTATTATTAAATAAATTTTAATTTAGTTAATATGATACTGGCTATAATAATCTGACTATATGTTGTTCACCTGTTGATCGATTTCAAATGCTTCCTTTCCTGAATTCTGATACTCCACCAGTGCAAAAGACACCATTCACTAGGGGTAAAAAGAAACTATATTAAATGTCTCCTATTGAGTATAATACATGTTTGTATTTCAGAAATACTAATATAGGCAAAAAATAGGCCTCAGAATTGAGTCTGCTATACGTTTTTTTTTGAGACGGAGTCTCACTTTGTCGTCCAGGCTGGAGTGCAGTGGCGTGATCTTGGCTCACTACAACCTTCACCTTCCAGGTTCAAGTGATTCTCCTGCCTCAGCCTCCTGTGTAGTAGGGATTACAGGCATGTCCCACCATGCCTGGCTAATTTTTTGTATTTTTAGTAGAGATGGCATTTCACCATGTGGGCCAGGCTGATCTCGAACTCCTGACCTCAAGTGATCCACCCGCCTCGGCCACCCAAAGTACTGGCATTATAGGCGTGAGCCACAGCACCCGGCCAGCAATACGTTTAATGTAATGTTTGTTTCCAGAGTTTAAATCATAAGGGGCAAATGCTAATGACAGGAACATAAAAAAGTAAATTTGCTGAGGAAATCTTAGGAGTGTGTATGTTAGACATCTTCACTGTAGGTAAGACTTTGAAAGTTGTTGGATGTGTGTGTGTATGTGTTTTGGTTTACATTTCATCTGGATGTAAATGTATTTTCCTGTTTTTCCCCTTAGGGTGTTGTCATTGGAACAGGAGAAAATTCTGAATTTGGGGAGGTTTTTAAAATGATGCAAGCAGAAGAGGTGAGTACTTAATATGTTAATGATGTATTTGTTCCAAATCTGAAATTCTTCATTGTAAGTAGAGAATGTTGGATTATTTTATATACTATTGAGAGCAATATTTTATTCAGAATGGAAATCAGTTGTCTCTGTTTAGAAACATAATTGGAAAGCCTGTAATTGAAAAGGTCTAAATTGATGTTGTTAGTATTCTAAAGGATTTTGAGCTTTACTCATTGTTTATAGCAGAAAAAGGCTTATAGCCACTTATTTGTAGATCTTATTATTTTCAGAAATTAGTGTTGTGGTAATTTTAAGGATTAGTAATTAGTATATTTGTACCTTGGAATATGTCTTCTATCAAATTTTTTCAACTTCACATAATTCCAAGTAAGGGTGGCAGGGAAAAGATTGCCAAGTAAAATAACCTACAAGATATTCTCGGCTAAAAGTATTAAAGATGAGTTCATTTTAAATACTTTCTTATTATAAAAAGAAGCTTCATTCTGCAAATGTCGTGTTCTCCCCAAATCCTCTGGATTTCTCAGGTAACCTGCCAAAACTCCAGTATGCGATGCAAAGTGGGAACTCATTCCAAGAGGCGTGGCAGTGAAGGGATGAATAGAGAAGAGGGTTAGCAGTTGAGGGAGGATTAAAAGACCTGGGTTACTAGCATGTTTGTGGATACCAAAAGGGAAAAATTGGAAAAGCAAGTGAGAGAGCAGCTGATGGTAATGAAGTCCTGCAGTGGTTGGTAGGAGGGAGAACAGATTTTTCCTCAAAAGGAAGCATAGAGAGAACGGACCTTTTCAAATAATAAACAGGTTTTTAAAAATAGAGAATTTCTGTTCCTCACTGTGTGACCTTGGGCATTGTGTAAAATCTAAGTCTCAGTTTTCTCAGTGAAGGTGATTATTTACCTTATGGGAGAGTTGTATGGTTAACTTAGGAATTGCTTTGTCAAGCACTTAGCAAGCCCCTGGCACTTGATAAAGCTTAGTAAATATAGCTAATTGTGGTGACACTCTTCTTCAATTTATCAAGGCACCAAAAACCCCTCTGCAGAAGAGCATGGACCTCTTAGGAAAACAACTTTCCTTTTACTCCTTTGGTATAATAGGTAAGAGAAGAGTGAGTATGTATATATTTTTATTTGAGTTTTGTTTTTTGAATGTGAAGGGTGGTGGTATTCTAGTTTTATTTATTGGCTTTTCTTTTTTTTATTAAGTTTAATACTTTTTAAAATTATAAGACTACTAGTAGCCATTGTTCATTTCAACAAAGAAAAAATAGAACTCTGATTCTTGTAATCAGAAAATATTTCTTGAAACATTTTAGTATTTGTCTTTCTAGTCTTCAACAAGAATGTAATACGATAGTTTTATGGACTGCTTTTCTATTTTTATTTCACATATCCTGTCATAAAACTCTTGTCATTAAATTGATGGTCACATAAAACAAACATAAAGGTTGTATAGTTTTCTATTTTGTGGGAAAACATATAAGAAGACCTCTTCTAGACATTTAGGATTTTTTGAGGGTTTTTTTTTGGTCATATAAATACTTCTTTAGTGTGGTGTCTTCTGGTAAATACCTCTCTTTTTTAAGGAAAAATTCTTAGAAATAAAATTATTTAGTCAAAGGGGATCCATGTAACTTTTAAATTTTTGGCCAGCTTTAAGTATTGTCATTAACTTCAACTGTAAATAAAAGAGTTCTCATTATTTGATTTCACAGTTCATTATTAGGGAAACCGAATGCTTTGTCATGTGTGGGTTGATCATTTTTATTTCATTTTATGACCTGCCAACGATTTCTTTTGTCCCTTTTCTTGTGTCTTGAGTCTTAGATTGATAAAAGCTTTTTATATGACTAGATTATCAATCTTTTTGTTGTATAAGTTTTTTTTTCCCGTTTAAGTTGCCTTTGAGGCATGTGGAATAAACTTGGTAAGAGGACAATATATGTAATTAACCATTTATGCCTAGTGTTCCATTATTGGAATGCTAAGCATGTGGGACTTATTTATATCCTACTGCTCAAGGTCATTGCCAAGGTCTGGTTGCAAAAATTCAAAAAATTGCAACCTCAGACACAAATGGGTTAAAACATCCCCTTTTCCTTGAGATTCTGTTATCACCCTCCTATTGATAATCTCTGCAATTAAGTTGGTTTTGTTCTGTTCCTAAAGATTTTCCCAACCTCATGTTTATAAGAACATTTATTAAAACATTGTTGTATAGTTTTTTATTTTTGACATTTTACTATTTTATTTAAAATTTATTTTAGTACATGGCTTAAGGCAGAGTTTTAACTTTTTTACTCAAGTTAATTATCCCATTAATTCTGTAATCCAGTCTTTATTCATTGGATTGAAGTCACGTTTTTATCACACATTAAGCACTTGCATTAATTTTGGAGTCTTTTCTCCTTTAATTTTCTTACCGTGTTAATTATTCCAGCTAGTTTAGTATTTCAAAGTCAGTAATACAATTTTTTTATTTGAGATGGAGTCTCATTCTTGTTGCTCAGGCTGAAGTGCAATGGCGCAATCCCGGCTGACTGTAACCTCCACCTCCTGGGGTTCAAGTGATTTCCCTGCCTCAGCCTCCCGAGTAGCTGGGATTACAGGTGTGCACCACCACACCTGGCTAATTTTTTTATTGTATTTTTAATAGGGACGGGATTTTACCACATTGGCCAGGCTGGTCTCAAACTCCTGAACTCATGTGATTGCCCACCTCAGCCTCCCAAAGTGCAGGGATTACAGGACTAATGCAATTTTAAAGCAATATTTCTGTTAATACAATATTAGTTGAAATAACTTTGTAAATAGTAATTCTGTTTATCCATCTATCTTCATTGTAAACATAAAGTAGAAGGTAGGAAGTTATCTTAGTTATTTTTGTTTTACTGGTGTGTATGCCCTCATAACTTCTTCCGTTTGATTATTGCTCATTTTCTAGAAATTTTATAGTGAATTTGATAGATCGAATGACATTCTAGCCAATTAAATCTTTGTAGTTTCTATTAGCACTATACCATAAACCATTTCAAATTTAGTAATAAATATGTTTCAACTTTACGATCTCTGGTTATATGTTAGTATATTACATTGGACATAATTTTTCTTGCCAAGGTCAAGAGCTAGATCAGGGGTCAGCAATTGTTTTTTTTTGTTTTTTGTAAAGAACTAGATAGTAAATATTTTAGTCCATATGGTCTCTGTTGGAAATACTTTACTTTGCCATTAGCATGAAAGCAATCATAGAAAATATGTAAATAAATGAGTGTGGCTATGTTCCAACAAATTTCATTTACCTAAGCAGACAGGAGACCCACAGATTATAGTTTGCTGACCCCTGGTATAATCCTTTGGACATAATTTCTTTCATCATGATAGTATTTGGGATAGGATCTTAGAAGGTTGCTATTTGGATAATTATTCTTTAGTTATATAAAGATGAAAAAAAAAACTTGTCTTAAATGTTCATATTGATTTGCAGTCTTGAGATAGCTTATTTTATCAAACCTCTCGTGAATCTGTTTGCTTTTTCCTCACAAACCTGCTTGTGCGCCCCTTTCCCCCTATTCTTTTCAAAGATAAAAGGTTAAAGCAAGGAGTATTGGTTTAATTGATTTTTAAATTTTTGAAATGCCATAAAAGTAGTGATTTTTAGATGTTAATGCAGTTGTAGGTGCTTAACGTAAGGCACATCACTTTTTGAGCCAAGTCGTAAGTGTCCCTTTGTGTGTAGTATGGATTTGCTGAGAAGTGTCTGGATATTGTGTTATGGAAAATAAAGTTTTAGGGTTTAATTTTGCATATTTGATATTAAATAGAAGACCTATATGTTTGCTGCCACCTTCTTTTTTTCATTGTATGAACATACTGGTAATTTTTAAAAAAATAATAAAATATTACTGCTTTAAGGGATGGTAGGAGCAGTGTCAACCAAAAGTAAAACTGTGTGTGTGTGTGCATGTGTGGTGTGTGTGTGCACACATGTACGTATGTGAGTATGCACAGCATTCACATTAAGCAGTGTTAACTTTAACCTCCCCTGTTTAATGGATTTTTATAAAATCTTCTAATTGTGATCTGATATGCTTTCCCTTTTTTGTCAAGGGACGTTTTAGATTCCTTCAGCTTGTTCTGTTCCTTCTAGGTGATTGTATGTAAAAGGGAAAAATAACTATTTAATTATCTTTCAGGAATCATCATGTTGGTTGGCTGGTTACTGGGAAAAGATATCCTGGAAATGTTTACTATTAGTGTAAGGTAAGTCTCAATACTTTATAATTGGAGTCTCTTTTGCCTCTTTTATTTCTCTAATGGACATAGCTTACGTTTTATTATGGAGATCAGTATTACATGGAGCCCATAAGAGTATAACATCGCTACATAAATAGTTCAGAAGTCATATATTAAAATTATCCTTAGAAAAATGAAAATGTATGTATATGGTAATGAAGAAAACCCATACTAGATGTCTGGAATTACTAATGCATTATTGCCTTTTTATATATAAATATACAATTAAGGATTGTCAAATTGAAAACTAGCAACATGAAAGAGAAAGTTCACAATATAGAAATTGAATAATCAATTTCAGAGGAAAACGAAACATTGAAGAAATGATGACAAATTTAAAAACCAAGTGTTTGTATTTTCAGAGACTTGTGAAGAAACTGCATCCATGAGATAAATTGTTGTAGAAAAGGATCAGAGAACAAAAAGAGTTTTTAGAAATTAAGATTATGATTGTTGAAATTAAAAATTCAATTGTAGGGGTGTAATATAAATTCAAAGAGGTCTCCCCCCAAAAAGAGTAAAAAGTCTTAGAATGAGATAAAATGATGAAGAGGAATAATTTCAGGAAATACCACTTGTAACTAATTGGAGTTTCAAAAATTACATAAGATATGACACACAAGTATTTTCTCAAGCTAAGGCAAAAAGTAAGTCTTTATAGATTGAAAGGATTCACTAAATACCAAGCAGAATGGAAAAAACTTCAACCTTGATACATAATTGTGAAACTAAAGAAGAAAAGTCAGGTCATCTACAAAGGAAGGGTAACTACGCTGGCATCAGACTTCTCATTAGCAACTGCAGTTTCTACCACAGGATCTTTTTGGGTTCTTCTAAACATTCCAACTCACAAGACTTTCACAGACCACATCTGATACCTGTGCCCTGAACACAGCAGGGTAACTTCAGGCAGCCTTCTCCTGAGAGTCCGCAGCAGTCCATGTAGCAATTCACTCAAGTACAAGGAGATAAGGTCAACCTTGTGAGTGTGGGATCTACCTTGGGTTAAAATATCTCGTGTTCTATGAGAGACGTATTTTGAAACATGCATTTCCAGATGCCTGCAAAGGACATGTCTAGTTACAAGTTACTACACTTGAGAAACTCAAAGCTATGATTTCCTATAAGATAATTATAACTTTCCTAGTCCAGAGAGATTTTATTAGTCAGGGGATCCCTTAATCATAGCAGTGTTATCTAGCAGCATACTTGACATATTATTCTTACCAGGTCACTAGGTGAACAGAACTAGAGTTAATCAAATCCAGAAGGGGAAGATTATTTTATTAACTGTTCATCCACAGCAACATCAGATTGCATTAGAATAAGTGGAGCCGTGGTAACAAATTAGGGGGGCAATTGATCATAAATCTGTAAATTGGGCCTAGCCAAAGGATTGGTCCAATTAGTGACAAATAGGTAGGCAAGTACTCAGAACATTCATTTCCTACCCATCCTTATATGAATTCCAGCAAAACAAGGGTGAAAGAAAGGAAGATGATAATAGACATAAGAAAGGGCAAGAACTTACTTAGGCATCTAAGAAAAAGAAATCCTGGTAGACCTCTGTTGTAGGCATATGAAATATTTCAAATATTAGAACAAAAGTCAATGTCTTTCAAAAAGAAAAGTCAAATAGATTACAAGGAATCAGAATGAATAAGAAGTAAAAAGATATTTGTGATATAGTGAAAGAATGTGTTTTTTTTTTTCTCAAGGGAGGGGGTGAAAATGCAATTTGAAACTCTTGGTTTAAATTTGTGTTTAAAAACGCCATGGGTTAAATATAAAATACATTTAAAATGGGGAATAAGTTTGAGATATTAAACATTGACATATTATCCATTGGATCATTTTTAGTTTTTGAGGATTTGGGTTTTTTTTTTTTTGAGTTCTGTTTGTACAGATTGACATATCATAACTTCTGTTCTTTCTTCAAGGTCTTCCAAAGGACAAGATACTTAAAAATTTTCAAATAGAATAAAACTCATTCTATTTTGCAATTCTGTTTTGCAGTATGGATCCATTGGAATCTTTTATAAGTATAAGCTACATTATGGGACCTTTAATGATCCTATTTTTCCTCTTTCTTGAAGTATTTTACAATTTCTTCACCCTAGGAATTATTTTAACAATTATTTGCAAGAGTGCTGAAGATGACTAAAACAATAAGAAAGCAGAAAAATGATGGAATCATTGAGAAGGTTGATGTAATAATAAAGTAAATAATCACTATTCTCTTATTCTTTAGTTTTCTTATTGTGTTGCCTAAAGTATTGCATCATTTAAGAAGGTGTAAAAGAAGTCTAAAGGCACAATCTTTAGGTTTGTTTGTTACAGCTTTCATTGAACAAAAATGAGAATTCAGAATTTTTCACTTTCTACTATAATGGCAAAGAGAATAATTGACAGAGAAGACTTTTCACAATTATTAGACAAATCAGAAGATCAGTGCAAAGAGCCAAATAGAAGCACTGTAGGCCGTAATGATGTGGGTGAAATTAATAATATAAGTGAAATCTCAAGACTGAGTCTTTGGATGATGATACTCTAGATCTTCTCAAACACCTTAATTTTGATGAGTGAGCAATCTGTTTTTAAGGACAAAAAAGAAACAGGTATTCTCTTCCAGTTAATCATTCTGCAGCAAGGACTCTATCATGTAGTAGTTTTCAGCAAGAATCTGGACCATCTCTTTTAGCTAAACGAATGCATGACCCTATTTCATTCATCTTTTATGATGCTTGTTTATCAGCATTGACTTCATACTGCTTTTAAGTGGAGAAATGCTGAAGGCTGGTATGAATATAAAAGTGATTAAAAGGAAATAGATTATGCAGAAGTAGAAAAATTCATTGGATTCATCATTGTAATTGGTGTTTATAAATCTAAAATTGAAAATGTTTTGCAGTCATGGACCAAAGAAGATAACTGTTCTCTTTTCAACACAATTGGGAGCCATCAGTGGTTTTAGAAGTGTTGCAATTTGACAGAACAAATGCAAGAAAGAAGAACTAGATTAATAAGCTAGCGCCTGTTAGAAATATTTTTTGAAATCTGAAATCAATATTTATAAGATAAATATGTTCCAAGTTCACCAAAAGCAGTAGATGAGCAGTTAGTTGCATCCAAAAGATGTTACCCATTTCAGGTATAGATGCCTTCAAGTCCAGGAATAGTTTTGGGTTATCATTAAAATGAAAATTTAGAGTGAAGTTTTTTTACAATTTAATTATTCCTCTGCAAAGTTTTGCTAAGATGACTTAAATATAAAAGATTGAAAAGATTCGTTGTATCTAGATTGTAAGTGATAATGCCTGTTTTTCCTTAATGGAAGCATTAAAAAAAAAAAAAAAAAGAAAAGAAAAAAGAAAAAAAAGGATTCCATTTGAACTAGGAACATTCTCTTTGAGTAGCCCAAAGGAGAAAAGGAAGTATTAATGATAATACATATTTCTTGACTCTTCAGTGTGTATTGTTTAGCCAATAATGTTGTTGCTTATGTGCTTTCAACTTTAAAATCAACCAGTAAATAAAGCATGAAAAAGTCAATTACGGTTATAGAAAAGGATGCTAATGTACTAGATTATGCAAAGAAAAAGTTGGTAATGGAAATTAGGAAGTAGAAGCAGCAGAGGGAACAGTGGTAGAATGAAGGGTTAAATTGCTTATGTCCTTATTTCTAGCAGATCAAGAAATAGTATTTGGAATGGCACAAAGAAAGACTTGTTATTTTTTAATTATAAAAGGCGAGTGAAATAATTCTTTAAACTGTGATAAAATACGCATATTATAAAATTTACAGTTTTAAAGAGTTAATTTGGTGGAGTTAAGTATGGTCGCAATGTTTTACAACTGTTAACCGCTATCTAGATTCAGAACCTTTTCATCATGCCAGAAGAAAACCCTGTACACATTAAGCAGTCACTCCCCAGTTTTCCTCTTCCCCTAGTCCCTGGCAACCACTCACTAATCTGCTATCTCTATGGATTTGCCTATTCTAGATATTTCATATAAATGAAATGATATAATATGGGACCTTTTGTATCTGTCTTTTTTCACTTAGCATAATGTTTTCAAGGTTTATTCATGTTGTAGCATGTGTTAGTACTTCATTCCTTTTTGTGGCTAAAGTAATACTCCATTGCATGGATGTCACAATTTTACATTTATCAGTTGATGAATATTTGGCCTGTTTCCATCTTTTGGCTATCGTGAATAGTGTTGCCGTGAACATTCATGTATGAGTTTTTGTTTGAACATTTGTAGTTATCTGTATTTTATAGATGAGGACAGTAAACTACAGAGCTAGATTAGTAAGTAGCCCAGGATCACACAAGTAAGAGATGGTGAAGCCAGGGATACAAATCCAGGCAATTTGATGTCAGAACCTACATTTTTTAACCACTGTGCTTAACCTGGCAGCTACTAGGTATCCAGTAAATGTTAACTTTCTCTTCCTTTTGAGAAGTTTATTTTTTAGGTATTGACTATATTAATTTTGCGTTTTATTAAGCTTTAAGTAACATCCAATTTAAATTTTGCTGTGAGTGCTGTTTAACCTACATTTTAATACTTTGTATATGTTGGTTATAGTTTGGCTGTAGCAGCAATTCCTGAAGGTCTCCCCATTGTGGTCACAGTGACGCTAGCTCTTGGTGTTATGAGAATGGTGAAGAAAAGGGCCATTGTGAAAAAGCTGCCTATTGTTGAAACTCTGGGTAAGTCTGTGTTAAGAGCATTCTTATGCAATGATGCGTAAGTTTATGTCAATAGTGAATCATCTCAGAGTTTTACAGTTTTTATCTTAGAGATTTGCATAATGATGTTTGGCTTATGGCAAAATTGGATATGGTTTTAACAACCAAAAAAGGCAATTAAAAATTCCTATCCCTTAGGTGAGGGGACTTGAAGAGAAATCTTTCTACATCATGTTCTAATGCACAAATCATGTTAAGAAAATCCATACAACAACTGAAATCTTGGAGTAAAATTAATAGAATTTTTTTCTTGTGACATGTCAAAGAAGATAATGTATTATTACAGATCCCAAATGTCATACTTGAGTTGAATTTGCCTGTAAGAACAGTAAATTTACAGTAGTTATATTGCTGTAACAAAACTTTATGTGCAATATGCTTTGAAACTCCAAAAATGTACTGAATTTAATTTCTAGTTTGTATTTTAATATCTTCTCCATATATGAGAAGCTGAAATACCTTGAAAAATCCTGATTGAAGAAATTATACGGGTTTATATTTAGAAACTCTCCAAACTTTCTAGAAAAGATGTTATATAAGATCATTACATAAAGCTAATGTGAAGTAGCTTTGTAGAAACTAACTGTATATAAATAAGAACATGTCATCATCTAATTTTTATTTTTAATTTCAGAAACTGTACCTTATGCTGAAACAAGCATAATGAGAGAAGTTAATCTAAAATTAACAATGAGTTTGATTTCTATAAAATTCAGAGAAGTAGGACAGGATTCTAGTCTTTGATTTGTTTTTTAAGTGAACCTATATTTCTCCTTGATTCTTTTGGTGACTTGTAATGATTTAATTCTTTAGGCTGCTGTAATGTGATTTGTTCAGATAAAACTGGAACACTGACGAAGAATGAAATGACTGTTACTCACATATTTACTTCAGATGGTCTGCATGCTGAGGTACTCTATAGGTTTTTAAAAACAAACAAAAACAGTATCCCTTTAAGAAACTTGGTGTTTAACATTCCTAACAGTTCCAGTGTCTTACCTTCAAAAGGGCTGTAAATTAGTAGTGGAGTTATTTTCTCTCTCTGTGATTTTACCAAGTCTTTGTCTCATTCCACTTGTACACTTGTTCAATCCAAAAACTTTGATTCCTCCTTGACATCTCTCTTTCAGTCACCCCTTCATCTATCCATAATCAAATCCTACCAATTTTGACTTCCTAAAGAATTTTCCCAGCCATCTACTTTATAGCCAGCTTCTTTAAGTTACCGCCATTTCTCACCTGCCATTCTGATAAAGCTTTTTGACTGGTCTTTTTCCATTCTTGATGCCCTCACTCCATAAGCAGTTTGAGGGATCTTTTTAGAACCAAATTTTAAGCATGTCACTCCATAAATTAAGGTACTCCAATGGTTTTCCATTGTGATCAGGATCCTGAACTGTGGCGTCTCAAAGCCGTACATGTTCTGTCCCTTATTTTCTCCTCTACCCTTATATGCTACCCTTTGCTTTCTGTGCACCAAGTATACTGGCTTTATAGTTCTTTCGATGTGACACAATTATTCCTACTTTAAGAACTTTGCTGCCTTTGTCACTGTTTAGGATAGTCTAATGCCTCTTCATCCTTTGCACCTTAATTCCAACCCACTTCTTCAGAACACCCAGAAGTGGCCCTATGTTATATGTTGTCTTAGCATTTCATACCTCTTAGTCCTTATCTTAGGTAAAATTTTCTGTCCCTTTTCCCCATTATAAGAGAGCAGGAGCTATATTGCCTAGCACACAGCCTGCTTCATAGTAATAAATACTCGATAAATGAATGAATGAATGAATCACTTTATTTTAACAATTATATATTGATACATTGTCTCTTAAGTGCACATCACTGTGCAGTAGTTCTTCCTGAAGGTGCTTATGGACAGGTCTAATCCTACTCAGTCTATGCAGGATTTCTGACTGGAATGCTCTTAACACTACTTATGTTGGGTACAGTGATTTAAAATGTATTTATAGCTAATTCATTGAGAAAAATAAGCAGTAGGCAAATTGACAGAAGTTGTACTTGGGTTTATTTACGTCCATTTTACATAGGTTTTGAAAAGAGACTCTTGATATTTACGGTGTTAGATCTGGTCAAAGATCCCCCATGCTGTGTTGGTGAATGTGCCCTTTCTGGATGATTCAGAAGGGTCATTGGGATTACATGTGCTTATATGATCCAGGTATGGAAGGTAGAATATTAGTTTTTCTTTTGTTTTAAGGTCATGCTATATGTAATGCATTAACTATTTGTTAATTGTTTTATCTCTCAATTAATGTCATTAAACATTTTTTATTTATTTTTATTTTTAATAGAGATGGATCTTGCTTTGTTGCCCAGGCTGGTCTTGAACTCCTGGGCTAAAGTGATTCTCCTGTCCCAGCCTCCCAAGTGTTAGGATTACAGATGTGAGCCACCACACCTGGCCACTAAATTGTATGATTTTTATTGTGAAATTTCTTTTCGTTTGGCTTGGTTTGTTCTAGACATATGATATAAATACCTGGTTTGTCTCTACCTCTGATTTTTAAAATTGGTGTGTAATATGCTGTGTTAAAGTGATTTGTAAGTGCTAGCATATATCTCAATGTCTCCAGGCCTGCATGTTTGCAAAAAGAATACTGCTTTTGTCTAAGTCACAGCTTTGTGTTGTATGTTACATATGGTAATGCATTTGAGTTCTTTGCAAACTGTAGTATGCTATATAAGTGTAATGTCATATAAGTTTAAGCTTACTTATGTATATTTTCATAGCTTATTCTTTTAACAGTATATTGTAATTAGAAAACAATGTCTTTTTAGATTAATAATTGTGATGAGAATTAGAATCTATATTTCTTTACTAAATGTCCTTTTTAAAGACAAATTTTAATGCTTTTCTAGGTGAACACTTTTAACAGTGTCATTATAAATAAAATGAACAGAACTCATTATAGTTTTTGGGTTTTATAGGTCTTGTCACCACCAAGTGTTTGTAGTGTTTGTATTATTGATCCCACTTTGTGATCTTTAGGTTACTGGAGTTGGCTATAATCAATTTGGGGAAGTGATTGTTGATGGTGATGTTGTTCATGGATTCTATAACCCAGCTGTTAGCAGAATTGTTGAGGTAAATATTTTTTTTTCCAAGATGGTGACTTTCTTCATAATAACTTAAGACACAGTGATAGGTTCATAGTTTATGTGTATTTTTCTTAGGCGGGCTGTGTGTGCAATGATGCTGTAATTAGAAACAATACTCTAATGGGGAAGCCAACAGAAGGGGCCTTAATTGCTCTTGCAATGAAGGTACGTACCTAAATTTCTCTTCTTTGACATTTGAGACACTGCCCTCACAACAGAATGCAGTGTCATCAATTTCAGTATTACTGGTTTTTAGGTATTGAGTGAAAAAAACTCATACTATTTCATTGTTTTTACTATCTTTTAGGTATCAGTTTTATTCCTATAAATGTAAAGTATAGACTTTTTTCAGTATAACTTTATTGTTCACATGCAAGTTACAAACTAATGAGCAGTCATTGATTTCTTGTGAAGAAATGTTCCTGTCTTCCACAATGTTGAGATCTACATGTGAAATACTTTATAAATGTGTGTAATTGCTGATAAATACTAACTTTTGAATGAATAAAAGGCAACATTCTTTAGTATTTCTATGTAAAGATAATAACACAGTCATGAGAAAATAGCTTTGTTTTCCCAGTCTTTCCTTTCTCTCCTTTGTTAATTTCTCAAAATGATTGTGAAGTTATAATTTGTTTTGGGGAGAAGAAGTCTCAGTTAACTTTTCATCTGTCCCAATCCGTCTCCTTATCCCCTAAGTCCTATATTTGATTCAGTGAGAAACCTAGTAAGTCCAGCCTGTCACTCATAACAAAAATAACTATTCCTACCTTTAAGAGTATTCAGAGAAAATTTTGATACTTGTATAAAGCAAGAGGCTTCTAAATGAGGTTGCTTGAAATGAGAGACAGTACAGAATTACAGGTTATTATAACATATTTAATGAAATAAAATTGATAGTTTTAGAATATATAGTTTCCTTGGCAGAAAAGCACATTTCTGTATCATTTGGTCTCCTTACAACTAAAACAGCATAGTACTCAAAACATGAATCCGTTATCAAGTATTTCCTGTGTTATGCTTATAAAGATATTAGTTTCTTTGAGGGATAAAGAATATGAAACTATCTTTTTATGGGCAGAGACCTCACATTTTAGGTAGGGAATTTATATTGACATTCTTGAGACAAAAGGCAGTCCAAGACAGCAGACACTGAAATCTTAAACACTGAGTCACATATAAGATAAGAACAATGCAAATTCAGAGCTGGGATATGAGGGCTTTGAAGGATAGGAAGGGTTTAGATGAGATAAGCTAGGGAATGAACTAAAGTAGAAGTAGAGAGGAATAAAAGAGCATAGAGTTGGTTGTGGCTAATGAGTTGGCCAAACTGGATGAAATGAAACGTATTTGCACGACCAGGAGGATTTTTATAGACGCTGTATGTGGTGGGTTTCTGGAGAACCTTTAAGGCCAAGAAGAGCCTGAACATGTTTCAGTAGAAAGTAGAAAGCAATACATGGTAGAATTTTGAGTAGTTTAAACATTTTTGATATTTGGAAGATATTTTTTGATATTTTTGATATTTAGATATTTGATATTGATGCAAACGCTATTAGGAGGGAAAACAACAACATGACTGGTAGTATTCAGGATATAAAGTGGCAGAGGGTAAGGGACTAGGATGATAACAGGTGAGCCATTTGAGTCCCTAAGAAGTGAGAGATTTAATCTAAAACTTCTATTGATCATAAAAATACATGCTCAGAATTGGTTGGGTACTTTTATTTATTTATATCCTGCTTCCTTTCAGAATTTGAGTGGGTAGAGGGATTAATACAGTGTGTATGGGAGGTTTAGTCAGCGTACAATCCAGAAAACCTGCCTTAGACTATATCTACATACCTGGGCTTTCATGTTGAAAATGTATGCTGATGTGTAGGGAAGTACAGTATATATAGATGGAGCATTTACTATTTCACTATTAACTGAAAAATAATCCAGCCAACCTAGTTACAAGTGGTGACCCTTGTTCTTTGTTAAAGGAAAAAATAATCACATATAGGTGAGAATTAACTTTCTCTTTGTGCCATATAGATGGGTCTTGATGGACTTCAACAAGACTACATCAGAAAAGCTGAATACCCTTTTAGCTCTGAGCAAAAGTGGATGGCTGTTAAGTGTGTACACCGAACACAGCAGGTATCCATCTGTTTAAAGAATACTTATTTCCTGTTTAGCTTAGATGACTATTTTTTCATTTACTGTCCACCTTTGGGTTTAGTCATTGTACATAATAAAGACTTGTTGCTTTAAAGTACATGTAATTAATAGTACACTCATCTCTTAATTGTTTGTGTTCTCTTTGATAGTCTTTCCTTATAGAATCCATGCATAGATATATTCATGGAGTTGCTGCTGTGTGAGCAAACAGCTTAAATGAGTTGTAGCCTAGTCTCAGTCTCCTGAAGCTTGTGACATCAGATTTTTTCAGAATTTTTTCTCTTCTTCATGACAGTTCCTTATAAGGTCTTTGCAGACTGTGTTTCAATCTGTGTTCTTTCACTGAAGGAATGTCTTATCTTTAGAACAAATGAAGCCACCTTACTTTTTGAAAAGTAGTTTGCAAATGTATGTCATTCATGTTGATTACTCCAGCTTACAAGCTGACAAAATGACATACCGATATTTTAAGCCGCCACCTTGTTCCTGGGTGCTTGAGAAATTTTTCCAGTTAGTGTAATAAGAGTTCTGAATTATCTACAGTGTATAATTATATCACTCATAGTTGCTATTACCAGCTTGATGATGAAACTTAACTTTAAAAAATATTGAAGCTTGGGCTGGATGCGGTAGCTCACGCCTGTAATCCCAGCACTTTGGGAGGCCAAGGCGGGTGGATCACCTGAGGTCAGGAGTTTGAGACCAGCCTGACCAATATGGTGAAACCCTGTCTGTACTAAAAATACAAAAATTAGCCAGGTGTGGTGGTGTGTGCCTGTAGTCCCAGCTACTCAGGAGGCTGAGACAGGGGAATTGTTTGAACCTGGGAGGCGGAGGTTGCAGTGAGGCTGAGACAGGGGAATTGTTTGAACCTGGGAGGCGGAGGTTGCAGTGAGCCGAGATCACCCCAGTGCACTCCAGCCTGGGCAACAGCCTGTCTAAAAAAAAAATTACACACACACACACACACACACACACACACACACACACCCTTAAACTTTCCTTCACTCTTTTGCCTAGGCTGAGTGCAGTGGCGTGACCTCGGGTCACTGCAACCTCAACCTCCCCTGGCACAAGTGATCTTCCCACTTCAGCTTCCCAAGTAGCTGGGACTGTAAGCACGTGCCACCATACCTGGCTAATTTTGCTAATTTTTTGTAGAGATGGGATCTCATTGTGTTTCCTAGGCTGGTCTTGAACCCCTGGACTCACATGATCCTCCACCTTGGCCTCCCAGAGTGCTGGGATTGCAGGCGTGAGCCACCATGCCTGGACTTATTTGTTATTTTTATAGTTCCTTTGACAGGAATGACTAGTTGGTTATATGTTTTTACCTATGAGCAAACACATGATTTTTGCATGTGATACCTATGATTACGTCTCTATAGAAAACAGGAATGAAGGGATCTCCCTTCATTCATATAAGTGGAAACATACAGTTTTTAAAAGAAAGGCCAGGTTGGTTAACACTGAACTTTGAATTGAAGTCTTCCAGGAACTATGTTCATGAGGGCCAAAAAAAAGATTTCCGTCTATTCTTTAAAGGAACTTTTACAAGCTTAGGTGAAAGAAGACAATTGGAAATAAAACTATGAAAATACAATACCTTTCACTTTAAACGTTTTAATGTAAAGCTTTCAGAAATTGCATTAAACTTAGGCGATTTTCAGCTGATGTCCCTTAACCACATAGTTATATGGCAAGCATATGCATATGACTTTTTTTGATAGGTCTATTTCATTACATTTTGTAAACCATCACACGGTACCTCAAGATAGTGTGGCTCATGTAATGTTTAATAATTTTACTTTTCAGGAACTTTTAATGTAATCTACCAAAGTTTTACATTGGAAGATTAAATCTTCTTAGTTGTGGGAGTGGGGGACAGAAA
Source organism: Homo sapiens (assembly GCF_000001405.40). Classification (NCBI taxonomy): domain Eukaryota; kingdom Metazoa; phylum Chordata; class Mammalia; order Primates; family Hominidae; genus Homo; species Homo sapiens. The sequence continues at coordinate 130,971,309 of NC_000003.12, forward strand.
GTGGCAGGATATGTTTGGAAACATTTGATTATTCTTCACACTTGCTGACCTGAAGAGTTCCTCTTGCAAGTGAAAACCAACCAGTGAAATGAACAAACAAAACCCAACCCACAGATGTGACTCAGGATCTAGAAGAAGTCATCCTGACACAGATAGGGAAACTTAACATTTTAAAAGTAACTTCAGTGGCTCAGATAGTTTGCTTTTAAAGGACTTTCACTTGAACATGACAATATATATTTATCTCTACTATCTCCCTGGAACCCACCAAAATTACTAACAAGGAATAAAAGATATAAACTCAGAAAGTATAGGGAAGATTCAAAGGTGCCAGGTACCTTTGAAGGCAGGGAGTAAGGCATAAGGCTAAAAATAGTAGAGAAATTTGAAATTCTGAATAAGGAACCAATAGAACTCCCCCAAGTACCTTTGCTGCTTCTTTAGGCCAGACGGTTAGCCTTCCTTTACCCCTGTGGAACACCAGAAATCTGGGGATAAGAGTAGAGGGTAGGATTAAGCCTTAAGACTGAAAACAGAATGATTAAGAAGATGTCATTGTCCTGAAGGATAAAGCCCTAGTTCTTAACACCATTTGTCTCTTGGAATACATGAAGGCTGGCATCTCCCTACTGTCATTCCCTAAGTAAGAAGATTCAAGAGTTTTAGAAAAGCTGCCTGGTCTCGTAAGGCAGTGGTCCCCAGCCTTTTTGGCACCAGGGACTGGTTTCCTGGAACTCTTCCACAGGCAGGGGATGGTTTTGCGATGACACTGGTCCACCTCAGATCCTCAGGCATTAGATTCTCTTAAGGAGTGCACAACCTAGATCCCTTGCATGTGTAGTTCACGATAGGGTTCCTGCTTCTATGAGAATCTCAGGCCCTGGCTGACCTGACAGGAGATTGAGCTCAGGCAGTAGTGCTCTCTTGCCTGCAGCCCACTTCTTCTTTGTGGCTGGGTTCCTAACATACCATGGACTGTACTGGTCCACTGCCTGGGAGTTGGGGAGCCCTGTCATAAGGGGCACCTTTGAGCTAAGCTCTTTGTTCATTGGAAGCACTTACCTACTCCTGGACTTCATCTCATCACCCTACAGCAAGGCTTACCAGTTGATCCTTAGCTCTGCCAGTGCTCATGGAGCTTCTAGTCTTTTAGTTTCTTCACTCTTTTTTTTTTTTTTATATACTTTAAGTTTTAGGGTACATGTGCACAATGTGCCGGTTAGTTACATATGTATACATGTGCCATGCTGGTGTGCTGCACCCATTAACTCATCATTTAGCATTAGGTATATCTCCTAATGCTATCCCTCCCCCTCCCCCCACCCCACAACAGTCCCCAGAGTGTTCTTCCTGTGTCCATGTGTTCTCATTGTTCACTTCTCATCTATGAGTGAGAACATGCGGTGTTTGGTTTTTTGTCCTTGCGATAGTTTACTGAGAATGATGATTTCCAGTTTCATCCATGTCCCTACAAAGGACATGAACTCATCATTTTTTATGGCTGCATAGTATTCCATGGTGTATTAAATACAAGTGAACAGGGAGGGATTACTAGATACTTGGAGAAAATCTTTAGTATGAAAGCCAAAGACCAAACCAACAGAGAAAGGGATCTTAGAGAAAGGTAGTGGCAGATGCTGAAGAAAATTTCCAAAAACCATAAAAAAGACAAAATAACTTTCAATAAAATGTTTATTAAATAAAGTCAAGAAATGTATCAAAGTAGAACAGAAAGTCAAAGACATGTACAGTATAAAAGGTAAAAATCAAAACAAATACAGAAGATCCAGTAATTACCCCATAGTGGTAATAGGAAGGGTAATAGGAATAGGTAATAGGAAGAAAGAACAGAAAATGAGAAGATTTTATCAACTAATGCTGGAAAATTTTCCAGAATGAAAAGACTTTAGCATCTAGAATAAAGTGGCCCACCAACTGCTCAGCACAATATGTATGTTAAAGCAGAGTGGGGTGAGGGATAAACACAAGACCCATAATTAAGAAATTTGAGGACACTTGGAGAGGGAGAATTCGAAGAGCTTCTAGAGAGCTTTAAGCAAAGGGGAGATCATATAAAAGGGCTTAGGAACTAAAGTATGGTAGTCTGCCACTTAGCCCAGCGGGATACATTCCAAGACTGCTAGTGGATGCCTGAAACCATGAATAATATTGAACCTTATATATACCGTGTTTTTTTCGATCCGGTAACATAGATGGCTACTAAGTGATTAATGGGCAGGGAGCATATACGGTGTGGATATGCTGGACAAAGGGATGATGTCCTTGGCAGGACAGAGTGGGATTTCATCACCATACTCAGAATGTTGTATAATTGGAAACTTATGAATTATTTATTTTTGGAATTTTCTATTTAATATTTTTGGACTGCTGCTAAGTAACAGAAACTGCAGGAAATTAAACCCTGGATAAGGGGACACTACTTTAATTTCTTTATACTTTTCAATGAAAACATTGACACTGGAGGCTGGAAGATAATAGAGCAAAGCCTTCAAAATGAGAGGAAATTTATCCCTAGCTAAACTTACAAATGTGAGGATAGAAGAAAAATGTGTCCCACACCACACACCCTTTCTTAGATATTGGTGGATAAAAGAAAAAAAAGAAAAGGGAGACTTAAAAGACTTAAAATTCAGTGAGGATAGAGGTAGAGGGTTGTTCCTAGATACCAGTGGTACAGCAGGCCTAGAAATCAGCCAATTAGAAATGGAAAGAAGACTGAAGGAGGGTGGTCTCCAGTAATAATATAGAGGTAATAGCTTATCTGCTTCTTTGTTGTTGTGAAAAAATACCATGAGAAGGGTTTTATATTACATTGAAGAGTTTAGGAAGAATGAATGATAGGTATACAGAAAACAAATTAAAGAGGTGGTTATTAACTTTATAAAAGACAAAACTTGAACAGGAAAAGAAGTATCCTATTTGAGCTATCAATCAGGATAGGCCATGAAAACAACATCATGCTCTCCTGCTGCCTCCCTGTCCCCAAATATCTGCTCATTGTAGTTACTTGGGAATGCAGGCAGATGGAAGCTCCATTTTAATGTGAGCACACACTGTCACAGCAGGGGTAGAAGAATAGGAAATTGTGCACTGGCACCTACATTTCCATTTGGAAGTGACACAAGTACTCATGTTTATTGGCCAAAGCAAGTCATACCTGACCGTTGTGGAGTGAGGACGGCAATAGGGAAATACATTCCTGCCTCCCAGGAGAACTGGGATATTTGTGAACTGCTATAGTCATTACCACACTTGGCTTAGCAGCAAAGAGTCTTGTTGTAAACAAAATACTGGCAGATTTTGCTTTAGCTATATCATAAAGATGGGGAGGGGGGGAATAGATAGTGGAAATGGGGAAATTAACATCTGTCACAATAGACAGTGTATAAAATTGATAACTGATGGAGTAGCAGTATAAACATGTTAAAAACATGAGGGTAAATATCAGAGAAAACAGCTAAGAGAGTTAAAATTATTTTGCTTCCATGGAGTAGGACTAGTGGTGAGAAGCGTTGAACAGGAAACTGCAGTATTTCATTATAAGCTTTTGAAGATTATTTACCATGACAAAAAATAAAAGAAAAAGTGCGATAATACCCATAAATACAGTGTGATTGGGAGAATTAAATGGTGTTTTAGGTAGATAGATATAGACGTATATAGTAGCTAATAGAGAACTTGAACCATTGTGAGCTGTTATTTCTCTTCCATTTCCTGTTATGTTGCAGTGAGCCTCTTTCCACATTTCAGAGTGCCAAATTTGGGGCTTAGTATAGCATTGCCTTTTATGTGTGGGATGGTGGGATAGATGTTTTCTATAGAAGATACAGAAAGCTCCCCTATAGGAATATTTAATCTTCAGAGTTCAGGTGGCAGTCAAAACCTTAGGCTTGAGTAACTTCTCTGGGAATTATGAGAAATGAATGCCACTTAATTTTGGACTCCAATGGCAGGTAAGTACAAGTTGAAATTAAACTTGTGTTTGGTACATTTTCTTCTTAGGACAGACCAGAGATTTGTTTTATGAAAGGTGCTTACGAACAAGTAATTAAGTACTGTACTACATACCAGAGCAAAGGGCAGACCTTGACACTTACTCAGCAGCAGAGAGATGTGTACCAACAAGAGAAGGCACGCATGGGCTCAGCGGGACTCAGAGGTAAGGCTATTTCAGCATAGTCCCCTGGGGTGGAAAGGTAGAGCCTTCTTTTAATTGCAGATGAATTCATGCTTCACATTTGAGCTGTCCAACTCACTTCCAGGATTTGTAGAACCCTTGCCAGTATTGAGGTGTTAAGTTTTAGTTGGTTAATTGGCCCTCAAAAGATGGAAATTTGAGAATGTAGCAAAATATGAATCACTGGTTCTTTTAGATCTCCAGAGGTCTCTGAGTAGCTGATAGAAATTTTATTTTAAACAAGTTTATCTTATGAGAAGGGAAATGGATCGAGGTAAAATGGTGTTACTCTCTTTTTATCACTTTGTTTTAAAGACAAAAATACTTTTCTAAAAATTGAGTCTGAAGCCTCTAATATATCCTTTAAGGTGATTGCTAACTTGATCTGTTACTGTTCACCAGGGAGGTAAAGAAGTCCCCAGATTCTGCTTACTTATATGCTGCTGACTGAGCAGTGATGGGGAGAGGGTCTGCTGGACACACACACATTAGGCCACCTCTCCTAGGGATGTCATGTGTAAGACTCGGGGGTTGGTGGTTGGTGTCCTAACCTGATTCTTACCTTCTGGATAGTCATCTGGCTTCTGCAGAATATATGTAGTTATGTAGTCTCTCACAGCAGTTGGAAGAGTTGGCTTCCTTAATTTTATTATTTTAATGAAATAGGAGTCTAAGCACTACAATTTCTGGGAGGAAGAAAAACAAGTTATGTGAAAAATGTTTTTATTTGTTGTTCACTTAAGCAAAGGCTTTTTTTGAGTTTTAAACATTTTGATGGATTTATAGGGCTTCTGTTCTTAAAATAAACTAAGTTTGGAAAGGTACTCTTACCAGCAGAGAACATTGCTCCCAGCCTGCTGCCATTGCCCTTCTCTCTGAACCTTCTGTGCTGCTGAACCAAGATCACTCCTCATACCCCTGCCCCCAGAGCCTGGTGCATCTCATCTGGGATATGGGCTGTATTGTGACCATCTTAACACTTCATCCCCTGTCTCCAAGGAAATGGGAGGCAGAGACTCATGGCTGAGAAGTTATTTTGCAAATGGATATTTTGGATGGAAAAAAATTTAAAGGAAAACAACTTTTCCTTCCCCCTTTCCCCTTTTAATGTAAGAGGCTTTGATGACAGGTTCTAGAGTTTCTGGGGTTTCATCCCAAAGGCCTGAATCTGGAACATGCCCTGGATCCCCCCACCTCAGTCCTCAAGCTTTCTGGACCCCTGAAGCCAAGGCAGATTCTTTCTCCCAGCGTCATTTCTGGGGCAGGAGGAATCTCTTTTCTGGTTTACCTGGGCCAGACCTAAGAATAGCAGGATCTCTGAAACCACAGGGTTTTGATGTGTTTTTATCAAGCCAAATGTACAATTGCCAACTGACACTCTGGATAATTGAGCACAGGGGGTGCCCTCGTACATTGTACCGTCACTCCCTTCTGAACAGTTGGCAGACCAAACTGTTTGGAAGCTCAGATACTCTGGCTCAGGGTAACACTTTTGTTCCCCTTACACTCCTCAACTTTCCACCTCAGCTAGGGAAAGAGAATGACAGTTAAGGCTTGACCCAGGATTATAATCGTTAGAGCAAGTGGGAGTTTCAGAGACTTAAGGGGCACTGCAGGGAGGCCTTGCTGCCACAAAATTAGGGTTTGGATTGATAAAGCCTGTGTCGGAAGGGGCAGTGGCAGCTCCACTGAGACAATCCTGGGAAGACTGTGGTGCAGAGGGCCTGTTACTCCCCTGATTCACCTGATTCTGGGGCTTTGACCCTTTCTTTTTAAATTTACTTTTGCTAAGTTGCACTTATTTATTTTTTAAAAAGACCGTTGGTGAACAAAATGTGAACCCATTTCTTTCCTCTTTTGAACTTCTGGGATGTCATCACTTCCAGTTTGTTGGCTTTGTTTCCAGCTATTAATAAAGCATTAAAAGAGTGGAGAAAAAAAGGTAGGGAAGTGGGCAGAGTCTTGCTACTCTTAGCAGCACATAGCAAGAGGTTTTAAAGTGGCATGGATTTAGAGGACTTAAAGAGGTCTTGAAGGTCTAATATATGCTCCCTCTTTTTGTTAGTTTCTGGAACAAAGTTTTCCTACCTCATTATATTGACTAATTCTTTTCATATGAAGGATTGTGGAGGTTTGTGTATGTGTGTTTTGTACTGTAACATTATGAAGTAGACCAGAGTTGGTAGAGGGGAAAGTTTTTGTTGCACAGAGTTTTGGGAAACATTCTGCTCATTTGTCTCTTGCTTCATGTCTTTTCTTCTTTATCTACCCTTGTGCTCCACTTCCATCCTCCCCCTGAGATTACCGTAATGAAGAACAGAAAGATTTTAAACCTCAGTTGATATGTACTTACATTACATCTTATGAAACAAGTTTCTTAAAATACTGTGGTTCTTAATTTTGATATTAGAGTATATTTTGTTTTATGTCAGGGGCTCTCCACATGAAAAAAGTTTACCTATCCTTGACTCAGAGAGTAGCAGCAGATTTTCACTGGTGCTAAAGAAGCAAATAAATACAGGATACTAACCTCTAGACTAGTGCCACCCCTCCATTAGGAGTGCGCAGAGCTGATCTTTCCGTCTTAGGATTTGCTGACATATATTTTTGTCACTGTCCCCTTCTGTTACCATCAGCCTCTATCCTAACACCAGGAACTGTGAAGTGGCTCATTCTCTCAAGGGTGAAAGCCTTTGGAGCCCACATCTACATAAATAATTAGGTATATGACTCTTACTTTGGAAAAATAGAATTACTTGCTTTTAACCTTGATTTTTTTTGAGCATATGTAATCT